>NC_000014.9:59914743-60217773 GCF_000001405.40 Homo sapiens | reverse complement strand
ACCCATCTCCCTGGGGGTCCCGGAACTTCTCAGGAGTCTGGGGTCTGGGGTGCTGGCACAGAGGCCCATGGGGGCCACAGGCTTGTGCTCCTGGGATATCTAAAATCCACTACCACATCTCAGGACTCAGAGCCCCAGGAAACCAGGACTTCCAAAGGCTGCTTTGGCTTTCCCTGCTGTGCTTAGGACAACAGGCTAGTTCAAAGCATGAAAAGGAAAATTGTGTCCACACTTGGTACTCAGAATGGCTACCTTTTGGTCCACTGCTATACTTTCTGACACGAAACATTACACTTGCATTTGTCATTTCCCTGCTACACCCTCCACCAGAGTCTGGAATCTCACAGAAGCGCCAGCTTTGGGGAGGGAGTCAGTAATGTCAGACAGCAGTCTTCAGCAGCTTGTTAGTTTGGCACATGGCTTTGGACTCAGACGGACTTGGATTTAAATTCTGACTCTGCCCCCAAGGAGCTTGATGGTCTTGGCAGGCCACGTGCTTCTCTGACCTTTGTTTCCTCCTCTGAAAAACAAAGGCACTAATGCCTGTCTGTGTGGTGACCTGACACAGCCCCTACCTGGGACCTGGCAAGTGCCCAACACACAGAGGTGCTGCGATTTCAGCTGCACTGAGAAAGGACCCTTGGGCCAAAAGAAATCTTTCCCCGACAATTTTCTGACATGATCTGGCTTTTATGCACCTCTTTAGCCTCAAACAGGAATGGTACCCGCACTCTGCTTCCTTGAATACCACCATGATCTTTGTCACTGCTGTTCCCTCTTCCTAGAACGCTGTTCCCTTCAGGCCTCCACTCTGTTCATCCAGTTAGCACCAGCTTCCAGGTCTCCTCAGTTACCTTGAAGAGAACCTTTAAGGGCTCCCCTGGCTCAGCTTTGTTCTCACTTGTGCGATTATTTTAAAGATGTTTGTTAATTAATTAAACAACAAACCATGGATGAGACAAACATTAAACAATGTAAACTCCATGAAGGTGCCTGTTTTACTCACCAGTGCCTGGTACATACTAGGTCTCAGTAGCTATTTGTTGAAAGAAGGAATGGATGAGAAATGCAATCATTTAACTGAAAGGAGTACAGTTGTCACAATGCTAGTGCTCCCCAAAATATTAGTAGTTATTCTGAAGTCAAAAAGAGGTACATGGTCAAATTGGACACTTCGGGCAAAACAAAATTAGACAGGTTTCTTCTCAGTAGAACTTCTCAACATCTTAATATGCTAATGTGCATTATGAATTTCTAGTGGGAGGAGGCTTAACACCAAACAAGGAACCTCCTTTGTCATTTACACCTCACTGTGAATGAGTTTAATCAAAGCTTAGCCAGAGAGTAAGTGACGGGGAAGTAGAAGTTCCAGGCTCTGAAGGCGAGGAACTCTGCCTGTCTTCAGCCTGCCCCCAAATGCAGAGCCCCTGGGCTTCTGGGAGCAAAATCCACTTGAATACATGAGCAGCTGGCCTGTTCATAACTCACCCCTACAACTGAATCTTGGCACAGCAATCTAAACCTGGACCTAAATCTAAATGGCAATCTAAAGTTGTCATTACTGCTATTTTTACCAAAAGACCTCTTTCTTACATCAGCCATGGAGGGATTTCATCTAAAAAAAAATTTGCTGTTTATCTTCTTCAATAAAAAGTGACTTTGACAATGTGGTGTAAGGTTGATGTGTCCCAAGAAACAGACCTGTTCCCTGTCTGGATTTGTTTTCTTTTATTGCTTTTTAAATCCAGCATTCCTCTTTTCATTTCTGGCTTAAGCTACAGGGCAGTACTGGTTTTGCTCAAGAGGAGTCTCTATTTGGAGTTGATTGAAAAAACAAAACTGGCTAAAAGAAGGATCAGGACAGTCCTAAATATAATTAAAATAGAAATAAAAGGGCGACACATAAACCAGATGGGTATCCAAACCTGGATGGTTTCTGTGTTCCAAACATTGACTCTGAGTAGCTGTATTTGAATGCAAGAATGGAGCAATGCCTGATGCCTCACAATGGATGGAGAATGTGAATGAGGTTGGATAGAACAGAGCTGAAATGTTGACTGCTGTGATTCATGGTGCTTCCAAGATGGCGCCATCATAACAGAGTTAGTATTTACAGGCAGGGCAAACTGCAAAGCAGGGAGAGTTTATCTCTAGTTCTTCTTTCTTCAGTTTCAGCAGGGAAACTCAGATTGCCCTCTCACTAAAGGTGCCGTTGTTGCCTCTTGGTTTTCTTTGGCCTAGCATGTCAATTATTTTCATCTCACTCATTCAAGATCCTGATCCTGGTTTTAAAACTAATCCAATAAACCAATTCACTAGCTAATGGATGATAGTTTAAAAATGTGACTTCCTCCTTTTACCTAAGATATTTGTATTTTAACAAGGGTCATCTGGTTGATATCAAACAAGTCACTCTAATGGTGAAAAGTCAGGCAGTAGGGAGATGCTTCTGCGTAGATTGCCCTGCAGTTCCTTTCAAGATCTACACAGAGGCAGCTGTCTGCTCTGGCTGGGTAGGATTGGCTCTGTTACAGATCTTTGCTGTGCAGTAAAGGTAGGTTAAAGGGCAGCACCGAATGGCACAAGAATAGAAAACAGCACATGGAGATGGTATTTTGTCCATGGATTGGGGATTACTATCCTAAGCAGCCAGGATTTTTCCAGTAGAGTTTTATACAATAAAATAAATGTGTTCTGCACTTTTAGTGTTTAAATAAACATGGAGGATTTATTTCTAGCTGTAATGTAAATTGGTGATGTAGAAAGTTATGAAAAGAGAATGCATCCAAAAACTTAAGACCTCCTGGTTTCTGTCACTGCTCTGTGTGCTTAAACAACACTGATTTCTACATAAATAACTCACCCCTTAGAAAATATATGTAAGATAATTTACTCTAAGAATTTTCCCCTTAAAAAAGTACGTTTACTGTGAGCAAAAGTTTATGGAAACTAGCATGAGTAAACCAAGAGCAAAGTGCAATATATGTATGTATAAATATATAATGTATTCTCTGAATCTTCTAATTTTCTATATTTGTGTTTGAAATTATAATCAAAGGCCATGACCCAAGATATCCATTCCTAAAATATACCCTGAATTAGTGGCTTTCCAACCTTCTTCTACTTTGACCTGCAGTAATAAATCCATTTTACCTTGTGATCCAATACACACACACCCTGAAATAAAAATGTCATAAAACAAAGCTAATGCTTGTTACATGCAATAGCTCTAGTATTTTTATTCTATCTTCTTCAATTTCTTTTTTCCTTCTTGTTTTCTTAAAAATTGATATTACTAGTTCACCAGCAAATTGGGACCCACAGTTTGAAAAGCACTGCCCCAGAAACTCACACATACATAAAATGTTTATAGCAGCACTGTTCGAAATAGCAAATAAGTAGGGAAATGTGTATGGCTAATGATAAACATTGTGTATCAAAATGGAGCATGACTTGGATTGGGAGGTTAGAAAAGGACTTTTGAGGAAATGACACTTACATTTAGACTAGAGGGTAAAGCCTGGTAAAGAGTATTGGACACTGAGCAGGCTTTGAGTAAGCAAAACCTTGGCACCCTCCAGGAACTGAAGAAGGCTAACGTGGTAGGGCCATAGCCAAGGAGAGAGACATGTCATAAGATTGGGATAGTAGGGATAAATTGTGCAATGTTTTGTAGGCAATATTGAGGATGGAGGATTTTTATTTATCTAAGTGCAGTGGGTAGTCATCGAGGGGTTTTAAGCTGGGAAATAACACAATCAAATTTATCTTTTTAACCATTGCCCTGGTTCCTATGTGAAGAATGGATTAGAAAAAGGATCAAGGGGCCAGGCACAGTGGCTTCTGCCTGTAATCCCAGCACTTTGGGAGGCTGAGGTGGGAGGATCACTTGAGCCTGGGTGTTCAAGACCAGCCTGGTCAACATAGTGAGACCCTGTCTCTCCAAAAAAATTAAAATATTACCTGGGTGTGGTGGCATGCACCTGTAGTCCCCTCTACTCCAGACGCTGAGGCAGGAGGATTGTTTGAGTCCAGAAGTTTGAGGTTACGGTGATTTATGATCATGCCACTATATTCCAACCTGGTTGACAGAGCAAGACCCTGTCAAAAAAAAAAGAAAGAAAGAAAGAAAAAGCATGGAGGAAAACCAGTTAAGAAGCTATTGTAAAAGTCTGATGGCTTGGATTGTGGTGACAGTGGAAACAAAGATAAGTGGATTACAGGGAATATTTTAGAGAGATACATCTATGAGACTCAGTGATGGCTTAGTTAGGATTGAAGGTAGGGTTGAAGGAGGGAGGTGAGGTTGAAGGTAAGGGCTATATCAAGGATGACACACCCAGTATTCATGCTAGAGCATCTAAGTAGGTGAAGATCTTATTTATTGATGTAGAAGACCAAAGGAAAGCACATTTGAGCAGGCAAGGATTAAGAATTTGGTTTTGTAAATCTTAAATCTGAGATGTCTCTGAGACCTCCAAATAGAGAATTCAAGTTATCAATTAGCTACGCAAACCTGGAGCTCTGCAAGGAGACTAGATTAGAGATATATATTTGAATCAGCAGCCTATGTAAATGTGATCATCCTGGAATGACAAAACAGAGCACGAGGAACAGATTGAGCTCAGGACAGAGCCCTGAGGAGCCCCAACATTCAGAAGTGGCTTGAGAAGAAGGGATCAGGACAGGAGTCTGAGGCCACAGGGGTGGTAGGAAACTTAGAGTGCATGGTCTCATAGGGGCCAAAGGAAGAGAGTGATTTGATAATTGGTTAGTAGTTGACAGTGTCAAGTACTGCTAAGAAGTTAAAGATGATGAGACTGCTCTTCCCCTAAGTGACCTGAGGTGATCTGTGAAAATAGTTCACTATTCACTTGACCCAGAAAATCCCACAAAATTATGCAAATCAAGAGGTTCAAATCTTTGTGTTCACTTTCAGAACACTCATGAAACTGCCCAGGCCATCAGGGGTATGCATATACAAAAAGCCCCAAGTATCTGAAAGACGTCACTTTACAGAAGCAGGGTGTACCATTCCGACATTTCAGGGGGGGAGTTGTTGGGTGTGCCCAGGCCAAGCAGTGGGGCTGATGGGGTTGGTGGCCCAAAAAGCTTGCTGAATTTTTGCTGCACATGCTTAAAAGTGCAGAGGGTAATGCTGAGCTTAAGGGTTTAGATGTAGATTCTCTGGTCATTGAGCATATCTAGGTGAACAAAGCACATAAAATGCATTACTGGACTTACAGAACACGTAGTCAGATTAACTCATACATGAGCTCTCCCTGCCACATCGAGATGATCCTTACTGAAACAAATTGTTCAAGAAGAAAAATAATGAGTGAAGTGTCCAATTATTAAAGAAGAACCTGTTTATTTTTTAAATGAATAACAGTAGGTATTAAATCACTACAGTATTTGTGTTCTACTAGCTACATTTGAAAGAGTGGTACAAGAGTTTTATTATTTAATAGTAATTTCAATTTTATCAGTAATTACCTTTTTATTAACCATTCAAACTTCTGATAAAAGTGGTTAGATGTTGATTTAAAAATATGTGAGGAGTTGCCTAACTTTCAAAATTCTTCTCTGCTATCAATAGTTAGAAAAATCCCTTGATTTAGGCCAAATGCAGTGGCTCATGTCTGTCATCCCAACACTTTGGGAGGCTCAGGCGGGCAGATCACCTGCACTCGGGAGTTCGAGACCAGCCTGAGCAACATGGGAAACCCTATGTATACAAAAAATACAAACAATAAGCCAGGCCTGGCGACACATGCCTGTGATCCCAGCTACTCAGGAGGCTGAGGTGGAAACATTGCTTGAGCCCAGAAGGTCGAGGCTGCAGTGAGCCAAGATCACGTCATTGCACTCCAGCCTGGGTGACAGAGTGAGACCCTGTCATACACACACACACACACACACACACACACGCACACATACACACACACACACACTCCCTTGATTAAGTACATCAGAGCTTTAATGTACAATGCACCACAGTAAGATTTAAGAAGGGAGAAATGTATGAATTTCTTCTGTAAGGTGGAAAAGGGTAATTGTGAAAAGGAAGATAAGAACCAAAAACTGGCAGGTGCATTTTCAGGTGGATAGGTTTATAAAAATGTACAAAATTGTTTTAAATTTTGCAAAAGGTAGTTGAGTATCTCTGCCCATATTCCCTTGGAAAGTCTTTGTGTTCCACTGGGAGTTCACATAACACAGGTTAAAAACTGCTGGTTTAGCCCAAACTTCATTCTGCATCACTCAAATAAAATTAGGATTCTGTAAACAAAGACAATTCTACAATATCTGCAATAGGTAGTCTTCTGAGAGTGAGTCAGAGAAACAGCAGTGGCAGAGAATGGGAGCTCAAGCTTTCTAGAGAACAAAGGTAAGATTGCTGGGCTATGTAGACCACCTGCTGATATCTATAATTAAGATTTTATTGTGATACAAATCTGGATTGGTTTTGTGATTTTTACGGCCACGCTCAGCTGCTTAGGCATTGACACAGGGGAGGACTGGGGGTTCTGTAGGCAGATGCTATGAAAGGAGAAAAAGCCAATTAAGCCTAGCATATTTGCGATAGGATGATTGTAATGATGGGCTCAGGAATCTAAGCTGGTGTGGGAGAAGGGAAGGCAAAAGGGCATGATGGCAAAAATGTGGAAAGGATCATAGATCAAAAAGCCTGACCCAGGCACAGTGGCTCATGCCTGTAATCCTATCACTTTGGGAGGCTGAGGCAGGAAGATCATTTGAGCTCAGGAGTTTAAAACCAGCTTGAGAATTATAGCAATACCTCCATCTCTACCCCCCAAAAAAAAAAAAAAAAAAAATTAGCTAGGCATGATGGCATGCACCTGTTGCTTGTGAGGCTGAGTGGGGAGGATAGCTGGAGCCCAGGAGTTCGAGATTGCAGATTGCAGTGAGCCATGATGACATTACTGCACTCTACCCTGGGCAACAAAGTGAGACCCTCTCTCAAAAAAAGAAAAAAAAATCTAATGAAGCTAAGCAGGAAAGCTGGAAGGAAGAGATAATGGATGACTGATATGGTTTGGCTGTGTCCACACCCAAATTTCATCTTGAATTGTAGCTCCCATAATTCCCACATGTTGTGGGAGGGACCCTGTGGGAGATCATTGAATCATGGGGGTGGTTTCCCCCACACTGTTCTCCTGGTAGTGAATAACTCTTACAAGATCTCATGATTTTATAAGGGATTTACCCTTTCGCTTGGCTCTCATTATTCTCTCTTGCCTGCTGCCATGTGAGACGTGACTGCTCCTCTTTGCCTTCCACTGTGATTGTGAGGCCTCCCCAGCCTTGTGGAACTGTGAGTCCATTAAACTTCTTTTTCTTCATAAATTACCCAGTCTCGGGTATGTCTTTATCAGCAGCATGAAGACAGACTATTACAATGACAAATGGGATGTTCGAATTTATGATTTGTTTTAAAAATGTCTGTTCATGCCCTTTGCCTGCCTTTTAATGGAATTATTTGTATTTTTTGTTGTTGAGTTGTTTGAGTTCCTTGTAAATTCTGGATGTTAGTCCCCTGTCAGATGCATAGTTTTCAAATATTTTCTCCCATTCTGCAAGTTGTCTGTTCACTTTGTTGATTATTTCTTTTGCTGTGCAGAAGAAACTTAAACTTTTTAGTGTAAGTCCCATCTGCCTATTTTTGTTTTTGTTGCCTGTGCTTTTGAGGTCTTAGTCATGAATTCTTTGACTAGACTAATGTCCAGAAGAGTTTCCTGTAGTTATTCTTCTAATATTATTAAAGTTTCAGGTCTTACATTTAAGTTTTTAACCTATCTTGAGCTGATTTTTTTTTATTTGGTGAGAGATGGGGGTCCAATTTCATTCTTCTACATACTGGAATCCAATTTTACCAGCACCATTTAGTGAAAAGGATGTTCTTTTCCCAGTGTACATTCTTGCCACCATTATCTTCAGTGAAACAAGTAAGACACAGAATAATAAATATCACCTGCTCTCACTCATATGTGGGAGCTAAATAATGTTTACACATGGACTTAGAGTGTGGAATGATAGACAGTGGAGACTCAGAAGAGAAACGCAGTGGGAGGAAGATGAATAATGAGAAATTCCCTAATGGGTACAATTTATGTGAATTGGGTGATGGATACCTAAAGGCCCTGACTTCACCACTATGCAATCTATGCATGTAACAATATTGCACTTGTGGTCCATAAATTTAACAAAAAAATGCCTTTGGGTTGTAATGTGATGAATTTTTGGGGGTGAAAAGCACAAGGGGGTGACCATGGCCATGGGTAGCTGTGCAGGAATGGAGATCATCAGGAATTAGGAGGGTAGGTAACTGAGATGCAAGGCTAATGGATGAAATTCAAGGGTAATAGCAGGAGCCATGTAGAGAAGATGGCTGTCAGTCAGGCTCTTCAGTGAATTTGAGTAGGAAGCAAAAGGGAGATCGGCAATTTGTTATTCCATGGTGGGTGGGGCGTGGTGTAGTCCATACAGTGCAAGCCTAAAAGGAGAAGAGGTTTTTATGAGAAAATGGAATGAGGAGGAATGTCTGAAAGTGGCTCTGGAGAACAACAAACAGAACAGTTCTACTTCTCAACCCTGAGGGGTATGGTGCTTATTAGATTTCAAAGCTCTTCGTGCTGAGAGAATACCACTTTCCTTTCTACACATGAAGTACACTGTGATTATAGCTCTCATGTGTGGGTGGGTATAACCCTGAAACTTTGCATACACAACACTGAGAAATACAATCAAACTGGAAAATATATTTTAAAATTTGTATTTTCCAAATATAGGGAAATGTATAGATTCTTGCTTTTAGAGACTACATGAAGAATTTCCCACATTTTTCAGTTTTCAGCTACCTCTTTGGTATCCTTATTTTCCCGAATTTAGGCCTTCTTACTCTATGGAAAGATATTGAGATACAATTTATTTGCTTCAAATTCTATCAACAGAGTAATTTTTGGTCCAGTGGCCTGTACTGCTATTTATTTTTCCACTGCTTTCTATACTTACATGAACACCTGGTAAGTGTCAGGCACTATGTTAGGCACAGATGCAGTAGTTAACAAGACCTATCCCCTCCCTTTAAGGAGCCTAATCTAATGGGGAAGATAATGTAGATTATCATTAGATACCTCATTCATTTATTTGTCCACTCTGGCATTGACTTATCCATTCATCCATCCATCCATCCATCCATCCATCCATCCATCCATCCTTCAGCAAACATTTATTAGGCACTCAACTTGGGCATAGCATTACCTTAGCAACCTTGACCACTGTGCATTTGTGGAGATCCATGACCCATAATTACGGGTCTGATCAGTAAAAATAAATCTGGAATTCCTTAAGGTAAAAAGCACATTTTACTAATACTTGCTATTGGATAAAGGGCATATGGATGGTCACAAAAAATACTCTAACAGTCAGTATAATGTGTCTAAAAGCTTGGACTTTGAAGTCAGATCAACTTGAATTCAAATTCTGGTTCTATCACTTTTTAGCTGTTTGCCTTCAGGCAAGTTTAATCTCCAGGCTCCTTAGTTTTCTCAACTGTAGAATGGAAATGATACTTATCTCATAGAAGTGTTGAAATTGAGCAAGATAATATCTATATAGCTTAGAAAATAAGTGCCTATTAAGTGACATGATGCCGTCAAAAAATTATTAAGGCAAATAGAAACAGACAAGACTATATGGCCACACTCCATCACCTCTTTCTTTTTTGGGTCAAATTTGGTAATAACCACTTTGAAAAGAAAGGACATGAAAACACACACACACACATACACGCAAGCACACACACACATGTGTGCACACACACAAGTGTGACACAAGAATCTGGACAGTGGAGAGCCCTGATAGCCCAAGGGTTCCATGTAACTTCTGTGACACGAGACCTTTTCCACTTTAGCAGGGAATGAGCTGTTCACAGCACCGGCGGTAAAATCCAGTTATCTAACAGAATTAGGTTTACGCTGGCAAGATGCTTTACCTGGGGCTGAGAAAGCCACTGGTTCAGATCCAGCAGTGTCAGAATTTTGCCACATTTCTATTGGTGGGGGCTTTGGCATAAACCATCAAGGCTCCCACCTGATAATGATAACAATGAGTGAGAGGTCATTAATTCTAGCAGGTTAACTAATACATTAACTTCTCCTAGAGAAGAGGGTTTCAACTTGCCTGCACCTTGGAATTGCTATGGAGCTGTTAAAAAGGAATGATTCCAGGTCCCACACCCAGAGATTCTGATTTAATTGGTGTGGGATTCTGTCTGAGCATGGGGATTTTTAAAAACTGCTCTAGTGATTCTAATGAGCAGCTAGGGTTGAGAAACCCTGCCCTAGAGCCTAAGGTCCCATTTCAAGTCATAGGGAAGTTCCCATCTATATTGCGTAAAGCCAATGGTTCCTATGCACACACGAATTCATTCTCTCTCTCTCTCACACACACACTCATACACATACACTCTAGCCACTTTCTAATCTTTGAAACCTCACTGAGAAACAAGAGTGATAAGGTGAGTAGATACTAAGACAGTTTTAATTAGAAAATAGTTGAAGGAAGAAATACTTCAGAGAGTTTGTAGGCAACAGAGAAGACATTCAAAGAAAGAAGTAATATAGGTCTCATTTGCCAATGGATTTCCAGCAACTGGGATGAGGGGAATGAAGGAAGGAAAGGGAAGAAGCAAGAGAAAAGAGAAACAGGGGAAGGGGAGAGAGAGAGAGAGAACAAGAACACAAAGATGCGCAGATTTGGAGCGTCAATGGGGGTTGGAGGAGGTTTAAGAAAGTCCCTGACAGGAATTCTGTGGAAAGTCCACAGAATATAAGCACAAGGTCAGCTGAGGAAGAGAAAAGACTCAGTCGATGCTGGGCACGTATTTTATTGAGTTCCCATCAGTTGAATTTGTGCTTTCTTCAGCAGCGACACCCCAACCTTGTCATGGATGACCATGACCCCAGTTTGGGAGATTTGAAAGACCCTCCTGCCCTGACTCGGCACATTTTCTATTTCTTTCTTTCTTTTTATTTCTTCTCCTATTGATCTTCCAATAGTCACTATGGCCCGATTCTCAGTGCAGCCTGCAGTCTACGAACTAAGTGTAATGTGTTCTAATCTGCTCGGACGTTGTGCTCTGCTCTTTGACTGGTGCCAATAGATCTGCCCTGATGTCATGCACGTGGTCTTGGTTGGGCTTCTTATAATCTCAGCTCTCATGTATTAATTCTGGCAGGGAACAATATGTGCTGAGGAAGAAAAATGCAGCCAAGTGGCCCCGGAAGAGATTACACCCAAACTTTGATCTTCATATATATTGTTTGGTTCAAAGGGTAGTCATTGGTCTCAGCAACTCCTTCCCAGGTACTCTCATGTGATCCTAGGTAATCAAGCCTAAAACGGTACACTTTTCTCCCTGACTCATTTTTACCAGAACAATCATAATGAAAATGTAATTATATGACAGAACACCGAGGACATAGAACTTCACTCCTTTGTTGAGGTAGTCTTTTCACATAGAATTTTCATTTGCCAGTAGCTTGATGTCTGCTACTCCTAGAAAGATTTCTTTAAGATCTAAAGATTACACGATGCCCCAAATTTGAGAACCTTTGAGCTCCCTATTGACCCGTGTTCTACCAATTGTGAAGTGGAACAAAGAACAAAGGACAAATTTAAGAGGTTTCTACAAAAGAGCTGGATACCAGCAAAAGACATGAAAAAAGATATAAACAAACTGTAGAAATAGGAAAATGTATAGTAAAATTTTATACATGTGTCATTTAGTTCCTCTTCCCTTAGGAAATTATGATACATTGGGAACAATTAATACAAGGATGATATATAATAAAAAATTATCATGACCTAAATGTTTATCAGCTTGGTTTGTTGAATAAATTATGGTACATACATATAATGGAATACTATGGACAGTAATAGATGAGATGGAATGCTACAGTTATTGTATATGTTAAGTTAAAATGCCAATTGCAGAACAGTGTGATCCAATTTGAAAAAAAATCTGGAAGAGACACACTACAATGTGGTAGGGTGACAGAATTTCTCTTCTTTGTGTCATTGATTTTTTTTTTTAGAGTAAGCATTCACTGCTTCTATAATCAGCAAAAACACTGAAACTTTTCCACCCACACCCCCATAAAACAAAAAAAAAGAAAGTATTTGTATGAGCAAGTAAGAATTTACATAAAAGGTGATACTATTTCCCTCCTCCCCCCACCACACACACATCTTTTTCCCCTGGTACTGGAATTCAAAAGTCAGTATCACTGTGGCAATGACGAATAGGCAAAGGTTTGGTAGAGCCATGATGTTCCGAGATTTTTATTAAAGAAATTCACAAGCCTGATGAGTTGAAGAAAGCCTAAAAAGCTTTCTCCTTTTATGGTGTTGTGTGTATATGTTTGCATGCCCTTAGATGCAGCTTCTCATGCATCTTTTCCAATGACTCGTGGAGACTCTGGGTCAATGTCAAGAGGGCAGACTCTTTTCATATTCCCTCTCCCTTCCTGATCCCCAGAGGAAGGCCTTCTTTTAGAATCCTTGGCTGCGCCCAGCACCAGCGCTGGGAAAACTTCAAGTAGAGGAGGCTCTACCCACATTCCCTCCACAGGACCATCTTCCTCCTCTCAGCTTCCCCTCTCACCACTCTCTGTCACCTGAGATACCCAAGCTACTCCCCATAGCCTGTTTCTGTCAGCTGTGGTCCCTCACCACACATACCTCTCACAGCCTTTCAGCCTCCAGAATAACATTGCTTTCTATTCCTGGCTCCCTGTTGAACCATGACAACTCCTATCTTGTCAGGGCAATGTTCCTGATTAAGAGGAATTAAAATCTCAAAACAGGGCAAATAATCAATACTCTGACAAGTAGTACGTCACCAGGGCTAGTCACATCTCAGAAAGAGAGTTAACCTGAAGGAATGAATCTGTAATATTGTAATTTAGCCAGGGTTACAGACTAATAAGGACAATATTTTGGGTGGGTGTATGTGTCCGTGTGGGGGTGGAGGCAGGAAGCTAATTAGCAACACAACAAGGACTAGAACTTTTGTTTCCCTGTTGCTCAATCCAGGGCTCTTCTGGCAATAGTTTGCTGCCTTTTTTTTCTCCTTTATTGGAATTTAACACTTTAAGTAGTATTGTATAATTTGAAGAAAATTTCATCCTTCAATACTTTAAAGAGGAAAAGTATTACATTGCTATAGAATGTGTGTAAAACGCTGATTTGAACAGTGTTTGTAGTCATTTTGGCATATCAAACGATTATTAAATTACAGTATCTCCAGTTTAAAGCAAAGAATCAAGATAGTATTAACCCCTGCCATACTGTTTGAGAGGCAGTGAGCTCTGAAATCAGATTGCCTGGGTTGAGTGGGCAGGCAGTCTTATTTACATGCAACGGCTAGTTTAGCCACACGCCAGCTGTGTGACCTTGGGCAAATTAACCTTGCCTCTCCATGCTTGCGTTTCCTCTTTCATAAAACATGAGCAATAAAGGTATCGATCTTACAGGGTTGCTGCTAGCATTGAATGAGTTGATGCATATAAAACATTTAGAACAGAGCCTGGCACAAAGTAAACACCCGATAGATGTCCCTTGTGCAATTAGCAGTTGATGAAATGAAAGTATAGGTCACAGCTACATATATATTTTGTTGGATGCTCAAGTCAGCAAAAAATATGTTAAACATACCAGTGAGAATAGTCAGGAAAACTTAAAAAGAACAATGATAAAATGAAGACTTGCATTTCCAGGCATTACTATCTTTTATACCACCTATCAGTACAATCAGTGAAATAAAATGAGACTGTAGTAACAGTAAACAGAACAATGGAACAGAATAGAAACCTCTAAAAGCAACCCCAAACACACACATGAATTTAGTACTAGCAAGATTGACATTTGAAATTTGGGAAGAAAAATTGAGCCACCCAATAAATAGTAGTAAGACAAATGGTGAGACATTTGGAAAAGTCATCAAATCTGTTTTTTATAATTTATACCAAACTAAGTTACAGGCGGATAAAGGTTAAATGTAAAAACAAAATAAAAATATGAAAGGATGAAAAGTAAGGATAGAGTATAAAGATAACTATAATCAGCTATCAAGGAAAGGAAAGACTTCACTTAAAAATAAAGGAGAAGCCATAAAGAAACAGCTAAATAGACTTTAATATGTACAATTATTAAAATTCTGTATATTAAAAAATTAAAGAACGGGGGAAAAGTTGAATATGGGGTCAAGAGCATTACTTGATAAAGCTCATTTATAAATCAGTTAGAAAATATGATGCCCACTGAAACAGAGAAATGGGTAAAGGACATGAAAGGTAAATTCCCAAAAGATACTAAATGACCAAAATAAAATAAGAAATTTCAGTTAGATTAATATTTGAAGGAATGCAGTTCCCTTAAAATGAGATACTATATCTCTTTTAATGAATTTACAACTTTTAGTAAATTATAATCCCCAGTATTTGTGAGAGTTTGGGGAATGGATATTTTCAAGTACTGTTAATAGGAGTGTATTTTGCTACAACATTTCTTCAGAGTATTTTAGTGGTGTGTCAAAAGTCTTAAAAATGCTTATAGCCTTTGACTAGTAATTCCACTTCTTAAAATTTGTCAGAGGGAAATAATTGGGAATGTAGCCAAAGGCTTATCTTTAAAGATACTGAACATTTCTCATAGTAGGAAAAAACAGAACAAAACAAAGGATTGGATAAATAGATTGGATTTTCCATATGAAGGAATAATATACAGTCACTAAAAACAATGTGTTTGGCAGGGAGTGGTGGCTCATGCCTGTAATCCCTGCACTTTGGACTTTGGGGAGGCCAAAGCAGGAGGAGAGCTTTAGGCCAGGAGTTCAAGACCAACCTAGGCAACACAGTGAGACCCCCATCTCTACCAAAAAAAAAAAAAAAAAAAAGAAAGTCAGACATGGTGGTGCACACACGTAGTCTCAGATACTTGGGAGGCTGAGGCAGAAGGATTTCTTAAGCCCAGGAGTTTGATGCTAGAGTGAGCCGTGGTCATGCCAATGCACTCCAGCCTGGGTGGCAGTGCTAGACGCTGCCTCTAAAAAAAAAGTTTGTTTAATAACATGGAAAACTTAACAGAATATACGATGTTAAAAAAAAACTGGCTTATAAAACAGTTCAATACCAACATTTTAAAATATGAATTCTTAAAGGGATGAAAAAATATGTTTCAAAGTCTTAGCAGCTGCTTATTTCTAAGTGGTGAAATTGAGGATTATTTTGATTTTCTTCTTTTTCTCTTTTTTTTTTTTTTACAGAGGGCATGTATTATCATTTTAGTTAAAATTTTAATTGAGACAATTATAGATTTACATGTAATTGTAAAAAATAATAGAGAGATCTCTGTACCCATTATCTGGGTTCCCCCAATGGTTATATCTTGCAAAACTATACTATGATATCACAACCAAGATATTGGCATTGATACAATCTGTAGATCTTATTCAGATTTCCCAAGTTTTGCTTGTACTCATTTGCATATGGGTGTGTGTTTAGTTCTATACAATTTTATCACATCTGTAGGTTTGGTTATTCACCAGCATAAGCAAGATACGGAGCAGTTCCTTTACCATAAGAAAGATCTCTCCTGTTACCTTTATACCCTCACCTACATTCCACTTTTTTAAATTTTTAATTTTTATGGATACATATTAATAGAAGTTATATGTATTTATGGGGTACATGAGATATTTTGCAACAGGCATACAATGCATAATAATCACCTCAGGGTAAATGGAATATCCATCACCAAACACTTATCATTTCTTTGTGCTACAATCATTCTAATTATATCCTTTTAGTTATTTAAACATGTACAGTAAATTATTGTTGACTGTAATCACTCTGTTGTGTTATCAAATAGTAGCTCTTATTCATTCCATCTAACTATATTTTTATACTCATTAACCATCCTGACTTTCCCCACCGCCCACAATCGTTCCCAGCCTCTAGTAACCATCATTCTACTCTCTATCTCCATGGGTTCAGGTGTTTTAATTTTTAACTCCTACAAATGAGAGATAACATGTGAAGTTTGTCTTTCTGCGCCTGGCTTATTTCACTTAACATAATTACCTCCAGTTCCATCCATGTTGTTGCAAATGACAGGATCTCATTATTTTTTATGGCTGAATAGTACTCCATTGTGTATATGTACCATATTTTCTTTATCTGTACGCCTGTTATTGAACACTTAGATTGCTTCCAAATCTTGGCTATTGTGAATAGTGCTGCAATAGACATGGAAGTTTATTTCTTCAGACGTTTCTTCAATATACTGATTTCCTTTCTTGTGGATGTATACCTAGCAGTGGGATTGCTGAATCACATGGTAGTTCTGTGAGTTATTGAGGAAACACCGTACTGTTCTCCATAGTGGTTATACTAATTTACATTGCCACCAACAGTGTATGAGGGTTCCTTTTTCCCCACATCCTCCCCAGCATTCATTATTGCCTGTATTTTGGATAAAAGCCACCTTTTAACTGGGGCGAGATGATACCTCATTGTAGTTTTGATTTACATTTCTCTGATGATCAATAATGTTGAGCATTTTTCATATACCTGTTTGCCATTTGTATGCCTTCTTTTGAGAAATGTCTTTTCGAGCTTTTGCGTATTTTTATCACTTTTAGATTATTACAACATTTTTTCCTATTGAGGTGTTTGAACTCCTTACATAATCTGGGTATTAATCCTTTGCGAAATGAAGGGATAAATATTTGTTTGCAGATATTTCATCCCATTCTGTGGGTTGTCTCTTTGTTGATTGTTTTCTTTGCTATGCAAAAGCTTTTTAACTTGATGTGATCCCATTTGTCCATTTTTGCTTTGGTTGCCTGGGCTGGTGGGATATTACTCAAGAAATCTTTGCCAAGACCAATGTCCTGGAGAGTTTCCCTGAAATTCTCTTTTAGTAGTTTCATAGCTTGAGGTTTTAGATTTGTCTTTAATCCATTTTGATTTGATTTTTGTATATGACAAGAGACAGGAGTCTATTTTCCTTCTTCTGCATAAGGATATCCAGTTTCCCAGCACCATTTATTTATTTTTAGTAGAGGCAGGGTTTCACCATGTTGGCCAGGCTGGTCACAAACTCCTGACCTCAGGTGATCCTCCCGCCTTGGCCTCCCAAAGTGCTGGGATTACAGGCGTAAGCCACCATGCCCAGCCTAGATGATTTCTTACTGCTCATTAACATCCTCTTCTTTCAGATTGAAGAACTGTTAGCATTTCTTATAGGATAGGTCTAGTGTTCATGAAATCCCTCAGCTTTTGTTTGTCTCAGAAAGTCTTTATTTCTCCTTCATGTTCAAAGAATACTTTTACTGGATATACTATTCTAAAATAAAATATTTTTCCCTTGAGAACTTTAAATTTGTCATGCCATGCCATTCTCTCCTGGCCTGTAGGGTTCCCACTGAGAAGTCTGCTGTCACACATATTGGAGCTCCTTTGTATGTTATTGTTTCTTTTCTCTTGCTGTTTTTGGGATTCTTTCTTTATTGTTGGCTTTTGGGAGTTTGATTATTAAATGTCTTGAGGTAGTCTTATTTGGGTCAAATCTTCTTGGTGTTCTATAACATTATTGTACTTGAATATTGATATATTTCCCTAGGTTTGGAAAGTTCTCTGTTACTATCCTTTTGTATGGACTTTCTACCCCTTTCTCTCTCTCTACCTCCCCTTTCAAGCCAATAACTCTTAGATTTGCCCTTTTGAGGCTATTTTCTAGATCTCGTAAGCACGCTTCATTCTCTGTTATTCCTTTTTCTTTTGTCTCCTCTGACTGTGTATTTTGTTTCTTTTTTTTTTCCTTTAAACTTATTTTTGAGATGAGATCTTGCTCTGCCACCTAGGATAGAGAGCAATGGTACAATCATAGCTCACTGTAACCTCAAACTCCTAGACCCAAATGATCCTCCCACTTCAGCCTCCCAAGTAGCTAGAACTATGAGCATGTGTTGCAATACTCAGATAATTTTTAAATGTTTTTGTAAAGGTGGGGCCTCACTATGCTGCCCAGGCTGATCTCAAACTTCTGGCCTCAAGCAATACTCTTGCCTTGGCCTCCCAAAGAATTGGGATTACAGGCATGAGCCACTGTGCCTGGCCTGACTGTGTATTTTCAAGTACCCCATCTTCCAGTTCACCAATTATTTCTTCAGTTTGATCAATTCTGTTGAGAGACTCTGATGTATTCTTCAATATGTCAATTGCATTTTTTAGCTCCAGAATTTCTGCCTGACCTTTAAATTTCATTTCAATGTCTTTGTTAAATGTATGTGATAGGATTCTGAATTCCTTCTCTGTGTTATTTTGAATTTTTTGAGCTCCCTCAAAACAGCTATTTTGAATTCTCTATCTGAAAGATCACATATCTCTGTCACTCTAGGATTGGTCATTGGTGCCTTATTTAGTTCATCTGGTGAGGTCATGTCTTCCTGGATGGTCTTTATGCTTCTTGATGTTTGTCAATGTTTGGGCATTGAGAAGTTAGGCATTTATTATAGTCTTCACAGTCTGGGCTTGATCGTACCTGTTCTTGGAAAGGCTCTCCAAGTATTCAAAGGGAATTGACTACTGTGATGTAAGTCTTTGGTCACTGCAACTGTATCTGCATTAGGGGCCCCCACCAAGCCCAGTAAAGTTGTGACTCTTGCAGTGTTATAGAGGTACTGCCTTGGTGGTCTTGGGTTAGAGCTGAGAGAATTCCCCAGATTACTAGGCAGAGACTCTTGCTCTTTTCCCTTACTTTCCCCCAAACAAATGGAGTCTCTCTCTGTGTCTGTGCTGAGCTTCCTGGAGCTAGGAGAGGGGTGACACAAGCCCCCTGTGACCACTGCCACTGGGACCATATTGGGTCAGATCTGAAGCCAGCATAGCACTAGGTCTTACCCAACACCTGCAGCATCCACTGCCTGGCTGCTGCCGATGTTCACTCAGGGCTTACGAGCTCTTCAATCAGCAGGTGGTGAGTCCAGCCAGGTATGTGTCCTTGCTTTCAGGTCAGTGAGCACCCACCCTCTAGCCTAGGGTGGGCCCAGACATGCCATTTAGGAGCCACGGCATGGAGCCAGGAACCTTGGAATTTACTTGGTGCTTTATCCTATCGCAGCCAAACTGGCATCTAAGCCATAAGACAAAGTCTTTCACATGCCTTCCTCTCCTTTCTTCAACCAGAAGGTGCCTCTGATGAGTACTGCCTGGCTACCATCAATATTCACTCAAGGCCCAAGGGCTCTTTGGTCAGCTTGTGATGAATGCTGCCAGCCGGGGTCTCTTACTTCAGGGCATTGGGCCACCCTCTGGCCCAAGGCAGGTGCGGAAATGCCGTCCAGGAGCCAAGGCCTAGAATCTGGGACCCCAGGAGCCTGCCTGGTGCTCTAGTCCAGTGTGGTCAAGCTGGTACCCAAGCTGCTAGACAAAGTGCCCTTTGTTATTTCCTCTCCTTTTCTCAGGCAGAATGGGTCTGTCCCTGTGACCACCACACATGGGAATGTGATGGGTCACACTCGAAGCCAGCACAGCTCTGAGTCCCACCCAAGGCCTATGGTGAGAACTGCCTGGGTGCCACTGCTTATTATTCAGGGCCCAAGGGCTGTTTAGTTAGCAGGTGACTCATCCTGCCAGAACTGGGTCCTTCCCTTCAAAATAGCAGGTTCCCTTTTGGCCCAGAATGTGTCTAGAATTGTCATCCAAGAGCTAGAGCCTACAGTGGAGGCATCAGGACTCTTTCTGGTGCCCTATTCTTCTGTGGCTGAGCTGGTATCCAAGTTGCAAGACAAAGTCCTCTTTACTCCTTCTTCTCCTCACACAGAAGGAAGTAGTCCTTCCTGGATTTGCAAGCTGCAGTGCCTGGGGTTGGGGGAAGGGTGGTGTGAGCACTCCCTTGGCCACCCTGGCTGCTGTCTCACTAGGTTATATGCACCCCCAGACCACTGACTTCAAGCCCAGCACAGCAACAGGACTTGCCCAGAAATTGTAGCCCTTGTGACACAGATGGCCTTTCAAGTTGATTTAGGACCTCAGAGCACTTTAATCCATGGTGGCAGAGCTTGCTGGAACTCAGATTCCAACTGTTGGGATGGGCAATTCTCCTCTGGCTAAGGCTGGTCTGAATGCTTTCTACATGGGCTCCAGGTGAATTCTGCCTCGTGTTGCTTTCCTCTGTGACAGAGCAGCACTGGGTTCCAATGCAAAATCCCACAGTCACTTTGTCCTCCCTCCCCCAAATGCACAGATTCTCTCTCAGCACTATGTAGCCGCTGCTGAGGATTGGGGAGGGGTGGTATTGATAATTCAAGACTGTCTTTCATGCCCTCTTCAGTGCCTCTTTCCTTGATATGGTGTTAAAAGTAGGTACTGTGATTATTGACCTGATTTTTGGTTCTTATGAAGGTGCTTTCTTCTGTGGATAGTTATTCAATTTGGTGTTCCTGCTGGGGGGATGATTACTGGAATGTTCTCTCTGACCATCTTACTCTGCCTCTCTCCTCTCTTTTGCCCCACTTTCCAACTCTGGTTCTTAACTCTGGAAACCACTAGTCTGTTCTTCATTTCTGAAATTTTATGTTAAATATGTGCTTAAATTTGTTAAATAATTTTAAATATTGAATGTTAAATAAAAGAATATTAAATGCTCAAAATGTTAAAATATGTTAAATCTTAACATTGAACTGTTGTTAAAGAAATACAGTAGAATCATATAGTATGTAACTGTTTAGGATTGACTTTTTCCCCCACTCATCATAATTCCCTGGAGATTCATCCACATTATTGCACGTATCAATAGTTTGTTTCTTTTTATTGCTAAGTAGTATTTCATGGTATAGATATGTCACAGTTTATTTAACCATTCATTCATTGAAAGGCCTCTGGACTGTTTCCAGTTTTGGCCATTATGAATAAAGCTGATATGAACATTTGTGAACAACATTTGTTGTGGGTATAAGTTCATTTCTCTGGGATAAATGCTCAAGGGTACAGATGCTGGGTCATATGAATATTTGTGTGTTTAGCTTTTAGAGAAACTACCAAAGTATTTTCCAAAGTGGCTGTACCATTTTATATTCCCATCAACAACGTATGAGTGATTCAGTTTCTCTTCATTCCTCATCACCGTTTGGTGCTGTTACTATTTTTTTTATTTTCCCCTTCTGGTAGGTATAGAGTGATTAGTCATTGTGGTTTTAATTTTAACTTCCCTGATAGCTAGTGAACATCTTTTCATGGGCTTATCTACCATCTTCAGTGAAATGTCTGTTCATGCTTTTGGTCCATGTTCTAACTGAATTGTTTATTTATTTTTTTTAGTATTAGGTTTTGAGTTTTAATTTGTTGGATATGTAGTTTGCAAATATTTTTCTCCCAGTCTGTAGCTTGTCTGTTTATCTTCTTCACAGTCTTTGTTATTCACATGGTCTTTCACAGTGGAAAGGTCTTTTTTTTAGCCTATGGATGTCAAGTTGAGTTTCAAATCTGTCCAAAGAGCATTTAAGAAACTAGGTGTCTTTGACAGTGCTGGCATAAGATTGCTGGCTTATATACAAAACTGGTTAATGTCCAGTAGGGCCATAACTATAACTTTTGTGGTTATCTCTTCTATCAGAAAGAAATTATCTGCGTCTCTGCCAGATGAGAACTTTTAAGTTCACTTCTACCCCCACAGAGTTGTAAAATAACTGAGTCAATAGGAAGTTAAGCTCAGCACTACATCGCAAGAGCACCAAGTAATCTCTTTTGTTTCTTTCCAAGTTTCTAGTTTAATAGTATGCCGGGAACACAACACTAAACTTAGGCCAGTGAGAATCTTCAGGTCTTGAGCTTTAAATGACAGATTTCAAATTCACAAGTAATCAACACAATCTTTTGGTTCTTGGTAAAATGTTTAGTATGGGGCAGACCGCCCAGGTTGATCAATCAACTGAAAAATTGCTAGGTATTTTGCTATCCATGTCAGTTTGAAGAGGGCTCGATAAGACTGAGCTTGAAACTTTCCTGGGCAACAGTTTATAAGCAGGAGAGTGAGTCAGGTAACCTCACTGGCCATAGTACAATGTAGTAAGTACTGTCCACTCTTCACGACTCTGCTGTTCTGGGTTCCGTTTAAGATTGTTGGAGTCCTGCTTTCAGTCTAACAGTTCCTGAAATGCTTTTCCCCTTCATTTCAGAGCCCTCTCATGGGCCACCATGCCCAGTGTGGATTGACCAGTTAATAAACACCCCTGTGTTCATGACTTTATGACAGTGATGGATAACCCTAATTTGGATCTAAAAACTGTAACCTTGACTTCTCTATTGGCAGGTCCATGCCTCCCTCTTGAGTTTCTCAGTCAATACTGCATGAGATGAAGAGGCAGAAGCAGGAGAGGATACAGGCATAAACTAAGCGAGGACTCCTTCCCATGCACCAGCCTCTACAACCTACAGAGCTCTCCTTTCCACTGCCCTGGAGTCTTTCAAAGACATAATTCCTGATGATCTAGACTTCCCATGGAGGAATTCAAAAGATCATATTTATTCATTAAGCAGTGCTTCTGAACCCTGCTCCTCACTGATAACCAAATCCCTGAGGTGGCTCTGTTTTATTAATCAAGATCTTAAACTAACTTCTTCAACTCCCACTTCAGTGACCTGAAGAGGGTTTTTGTTTCTAGAAATGTGATTTCTCCACTGCCTAACTCCTGACATACAGACCTTTTTGTTAGAGTCTCCTCTTTTTATTTTTTAAAAATAAACTAGAGACTGGGAGCCGTGGCTCACACCTGTAATCCCATCACTCTGGGAGGCCGATGTGGGCGGATCACCTGAGGTCAGGAGTTTGGGACCAGCCTGGCCAACATGGTGAAACCCCATCTCAGCTAAAAATACAAAAATTAGCTGGGCATGGTGGCATGTGCCTGTAATCCCAGCTACTCAGGAGGCTGAGGCAGGAGAATTGCTTGAACCCAGGAGGTGGAGGTTGCAGTGAGCTGAGATCATGCCATTGCACTCCAGCCTGGGCGACAGAGTGAGACTCTGTCTCAACAACAACAACAACAAAACTATAATATACACATAAAAAAGCATAAAATACAAATGTCCCACTGTTTAATGCAAAATGACGAATGTGAAAAAAGAAAACCTTGCCTAATCAAGAAAGAGCATTGCCAGGCCAGAAGCCCCAGTGTTCCCCTTTCCAAACACAGTTCCCTCTTTCCTTCCCTCCTCAGAGGTACCCACTATTTTGACATTTGTGATAATCATTTTCCTACCTTATAGTTTTACCAATTTTATATTCATACCTTAATAGCATAGCTTAATTTTGCCTGTTTTTAAACTTTTTACAAATGGAATCATACCATATATCTTGCTGCCTTCATTCATCGTTATGTTTCTGAGCCTCGTCCATTTTGTTGAGTCTAAATGTAGTTTATATATACACTCATTTTTGTATAGCATTACATGATTACCCTATATATTTACCCATTTTTATCCATCCTACTAGTGACGAACATTTAAGTTGTTTTAGTTTTTGTTGAATAGGAATAGTGCTATTATAAACATTCTTGGGCATATTTACT
Organism: Homo sapiens; assembly: GCF_000001405.40. Classification (NCBI taxonomy): domain Eukaryota; kingdom Metazoa; phylum Chordata; class Mammalia; order Primates; family Hominidae; genus Homo; species Homo sapiens. Next base: position 60,194,114 of record NC_000014.9, on the reverse strand, counting down.
GATGCATATGTGCCTCTAGTTTCCCCAGGATAATTCTCTTGGAGTGGCATTTCTGGGTCATAAGGTATGGATAGCTCCGACTTTATTAGAGAATGCCAAGAGGTTTGCCAATTTATTGTCCCTCCAGCACTCCCCCATTCCCCATGCGAGCAGGTGCATGTTTACAATTCTGGTGGAAAGGCCTATGTGGCTGGAGATTTTACATAGTGATTTCTCTTCCCTTTGGCCCTGTGGATCCATGAATACCCAAAGAAGCCATACCACCTAAGGCTCAGATTGAGTCTAACTCTGCCGAAAGACAGTAGGTGTCAAAGTCATCCTCACTGAGCAGGTAGCGATATCACCATAACATCAGTGAGACATTGCCAAAGAGAAGATATAATTTGAACACTTACGATAATTTTGCAAAGCACAAAAATATTCATTGCATTGAAAAACCTTGGCAGAACACTATTTCAATTTTTTACATAACAGTAGTAGTCACATCATAGATATAATTTTGGGTTTTGTTCTATTCCTTTAACAACATATGAATATTTTTCTATATTGCTACAAAAACTTCCTTGCAAATCAAAACACAATGATATATCATCTCGCCCCAATTAAAATGGCTTTAAGCCAAAAACCTTTTATTCATTATATCAGGCAATAATGAATGTCAGTGAGGATGTAGGGAAAATGGAACACTTGTACATTGTTGGTGGGAATGTAAATTAATACAACCACTATGGAGAAAAGTTTGGAGGTTCCTTAAAAAACTAAAAATAGAACTACCAATATGATCCAGCAATCTCAATGCCAGGTATACACCCAAAAGAAAGGAAATCATTATATTAGAGATATCTGCCCTCCCACGTTTATTGCAGCACTATTCACAATAGCCAACATTTGGACCTAAGTGTCCATCAACAGTTGAATGAATAAAGAAAATGTGGTACATATACACAATGGAGTACTATTCAGTCATAAAAAAGAATGAGATTCTGTCATTTGCAACAACATGGATGAAACTAGAGGTCATTATGCTAAGTGAAATGAGCCAGGCACAGAAAGACGAACTTCACATGTTCTCACTTATTTGCAGGAGCTAAAAATGAAAACAATTGAACTTACGGAGATAGACAGTAAAAGGATGGTTACCAGAAGCTGGGAAGGGTACTGGGGGGTCAGAAGGGGAAAGTGGAAATGGTTAAGGGGTACAAAAAATAGAATGAATGAATAAGACCTAGTATTTGCTATCAAAACAGGGTGACTATAGTCAATAAAAATTAATTATAAACTTAAAAATACCTAAAGCGTATAATTGGACTGTCTGTGACACAAAGGATAAATGCTTGAAGTGATTGATACCCCATTTACCCTGATAAGATTATTAAGCATTGCATGCCTGTATCAAAATATCTCAAGTAACCTATAAATACATAAACCTACAATGTACCCCCCAAAATTAAAAACTTAAAAAAACCCAAATACTTCCTGGTAGTTATTTTATTCACTGTGTAATAGTTTGCCAATAGAGAGATGGTTGTGGCAGGTTTTAATGCCCTCCAGTCCCGTTCTTCATTACCCACAAGCAACCCCAAATAAATATTCCATCTAAGTAAAAAGAGCATATACTCTATCTAAATGCAGATTTAAGTCCCTGGTCCTCCCTCTTACAAAAGAGTGTATCCCAAGCCCCTACCATGTAGAAATGCTGGCATTCTACTGACTACCAAGAGTATGCCACGACTGACTTAACTCCTACCCTGTTGGTGAGCCTGCAGGTTGTTTCCAATCCTTTGAAATTTTAAATTGCCCACTCATATTGCCATTTTTCTTCTTTTGGGCTATTTCCTTGGCACATATTTTTATAAGAAGGCTTAATAAATGCAAGGTAATTTTTTTCTGGAACTTGAGATACAATACTGAAGTGGCATTCCTATTTATATTTGCACCCAGGATATGCAAATGAACATGCTGTATTTAACCAGTGTCCTTAGGAATTAACTGGTCCTCTGGAAGTCCAGAGAGTAAGTCTTGGAAGACTACACAGCCATGAAGGATGCTCACATCACCCTCCAGGACTGCTTTGGAGAAAAGCGTGCTGCTGCCATCAGGAAATACCACCACAGCTCATTTGCTGAGTCTGGGCACTGGCTGGTGCCAGGAACTCTGCTGTCACTTCCATCAGAAAATAAACTCTGTGAAGCATCTGCATCCTCCCTTTTCCTTCTTCTCTAACAAAATCTCAATTGGCTATATTTGATTGGTGGAGCCTAGGTTACATGTCTACGTCTCTGTTGCAAAGGAGGTTGGGAAAATAAGTTATTTATTTTTCCTTAAAAGGCAGAACTCATAAGAACTTCTCCAAATATAAGAACATTGTTCAAAAGATGCCGTTGGCCACAAACATGACATATGTCTGCCTCACTTTCCATAACTCTGCCAGCATTAAATGATTAAATTGTTTTGCGAATCAGTTATAAAATAGTTTTTTAATTTTTCTGATTATTAATTAAATTCCCCTCAAGTTTTTATGAACTAATTTTATATTCATTTACATAAATGATCAGTCCACCTTCCTTGCCAATTTTTCTGTTAGAAATATCTGTAAATATATTTATTAATATATTTCTTAGGGATATACAGGAACTTTTCTGTACTATAGAGCTTAAACTTAGTTGTCAATGTTTTAATATTTCAACATCTATCAACATCTAAATGCCACAATCATTTCTGTGCAGAGTGAAGGTCAGGTAGCCTCAGCTTGTCCAACTCTGGCCTTTGCATCTTTTCATTGCTGTGATATTGTTTATTCCAAGAAGCAGCTGGTCTCTGTTCCCATGCATTGACATATGCCCAGAGAATTTCAAGGCACTCCAGAAAGAGAAGGAAATATGAATCCAAAAATCACAGTATTTGTTTGTTTTGTGTTTGTACACATTACATGAATCAAGTTTTGTAGGAAGCATAAGGACATTATCCCTTCAAGTGGCTAAGATAGATGCTCTCGGCTCAGATGGTATTTTTTAAACAAAAACAACAGACTTGACCTTGATATTTTTCTCTCATCTTCATTGTGGATTGATGAGACAGGCAAGGGAAATACTATTTGTTCTTTATGCCTAGATCCTTCATCCAAAGGATTCATTAGTTTACAAACATTGACCTCAAACTGAACCCAAGTCCTATTCTCTACTCCACTCTACAAATGGCCATTTTACATTAAAAAAACAGAGCTAAGTAATTTTATTGAGCTTATAAATACCTTAACAACAAAGCCAGGAATTGGATATTTCTGTTTTCATCCCTTATTATTATTATTTCATATACCATTTATACAGAAGTGTACAACTACTATCCACTTACATTCTCCAGAACCAGGGCATTAGGCAGCATTCTTTGGGGCACCAGTCTGTAGTCCTTTCTCCTACACAAATAACATTTTTAAAGGTGCAGGTTATCTCCTAGACTGTTGGGCAAAGGCCCAAATCCTTCTGGAGCAATCTGCCCGTGTTTTCTGACACATAAGGATTTGCTCGCTAATGCCGCCCATGTCTCTCTGGAAGGACTTTGATGAATGAATGGCATTTTCCACTACTTGGTGAATTGTGTGCTCCTGTGGATAATAAAAATAAATCCAACCAACATGATTACATTTCAGAGAAGAGGTGACAGAGCAGGGAGCAACCAATCAAAAGTATCTAGAGCACCAAATTATGCCCCAGAGGAGTCATCTTGCATATCCTTGGTTCTGTTTCCATGGTAGTAAGCATTGCTTGGTATATTCAAAGGCAATTTAAATGCATTTAGGCCGCAGCTTACAAGGGGATAATCTTGGGAAAATCAGAAGTGAGTAAACATTAACAGCTAGTAAAATAAGCAGTTTTGAAAATTGCACTCCATCTTGCTTGCTTTTCTGTTTAGGGAAAAATATTTTTTTTGACATCTGGAAATTATGTCTGCTTCTAACTTGGGCTTCAGATGACTCATTTCAAGACAGTGCCACAGTTGCCATATGCTAGACTGCAGAAACTTGAGGCTGCTTATTTTTTAAATTTAATTTTTTAGCTCAAAGGTATGAATTTGCATTACTGTTCTCCCCAGGGCCAGCCTGAGGAGTGTGCAGACCAGGCCTGGAGGGTCCCCCTCTCTGAAAATACAACTCCTCACTTATGCTGCAGGGCTAGAGATTCACTTCTTTAAGTTCTGCGGGCTTTTTAGCTTTTCAGAGTCTCCAGGGGAAATTCAAAGGCACCTCTGCGAAGGAAGCTTAGACTGGCACCTTAAGCATCACCAGTTGTTCTCTGCTAACACCCTGGTAGGAACCTGGAAAGAAGACATGAAATAGACACAGAAAAAGGAAGAAGGGACTGGAAGAAGGAAGTGACAGTAGCAAAAACAAAAAGCCTGTTTTCTCATTTTTCCCCTAGAGCATTTCATGATTGTAATAATGGGACAAAGGCCTTGTGTTGCTCTATTTATTGTATAATTTTGTTTAACAGATACCTTTTTAGCACTTACTGTGTGTTAGATACCAATCTATGCGCTTTATAAATATTGACTCATTAATTCCTTATAACTACCTTAAGGTATGAACACTTTTATTATCTCCACTGGGTAGTTGAGGAAACAGGCACAAAGAGGTTGAGGTGGAGGGTCTCAAGGTCACAAGCTAGTAAGTGGCAGAGCCAAGATTCTGCATCGAAGTCATTGGGTGCCAGCATCCCAGCTCTCAGCCGCTATACTCTGCTTATATACTAACCATATATGTTTTCAATTCTTTTTGAAAGTGTTGGTATTAGAAAATGTGGATGAGAAGTCAGCTTAATGGTAACATAGCCAGAATTTATAGCCAGAATTTGGCTTTCAGTTGGAGAATTATAATAATGTCTATAGCGGACTGGGAAGGCCGAGTCCTGGAATTCTATTCTTCGTCTGTTTTATGTAGCACTTAGAGAGCTAGAGCAACTCATAACCTCTGTATTCATCTTTGGATGGAGATTTTGAAGTTCATCAGATAAGAATTTTAATTTTCAAATAAAAGAGAAGTTGAACTTTCCCAAAGGGCATTTGGGCATTAGCCCAAAAGTGAAGGAAACTTCACTTTTTGATCATTCAAAAACAGAGAATAATGGGATGGGAGAATAAAGGAGGGGGCTCAAAGTATTTTGTGGAATCTGAAACTCTTCTATGTGGCTTAGATCATGGGAATTTTCTTGGCCTGCGTTGTGAAGGTAGCATGACCCTTTCTCTATGAGGGATGTGAGTTATTCACTATTTCAAACTGTACAATTGCTTCATTATGTCCACACCCACATTTTTCTGTTTATAGCCAAAGAAAAGGCCTGTTGTTGATACTAAATTACCACCTGAAAATAAGAGTATCATAATTCTTAATTAATTCTTATTCTAAAATATCTTACACTGTCTGGGGAACAGTATATTTTATTTGAGATTGAAAAACAATCTTCAATCATCTTTTATATGAGAAAAAGTATTAAATATTTCTAGGTATTAAAAAATCTAGGTATTTAGAGGTATTAAATCTTTAAAAATTTTTAAATAGCCCTTCACAACCATCAAAAATTGTGTTTTACTTTTTAAGATGTTATGCTTTTTTACACATTAGTGAATTTATTCACAGAACCTGGGTTTTAGGCCTTTGAGAGTTATGGAATACCTAAATGGTTATAGGCCATTGTTCAGAAGCCATTGCACTCCGAAGTCTCAATGGAGAGCTATTTTGGTCCCACACAGGACATTTGGCAATGTCTGGAGACATTTTTGATTATCATAACTTGTGATGGTGGGAGGTTGTTACTGACATCTAGTGGGTTAAGTCCAAGGATGCTGCTAAATGTCTTATAATGTACTAGACAGCGCCCACAACCAAGAATTATCTGGCCCAAAATGTTAACAGTGCTGAGTTTGAGAAACCCTGCAATAGAGATTTTCAAAGCCCTATTTGTAGGACTTTTTACATAGACCCTTCGTTTTATGTTGCTTGCTTTACAAGCCCCCTCATTTACACAGCCAGTCCACCTGGGAGTTTACTGGCTCACAAAGGTACCCAGTGGGACTCGATGATCAGAGAGAATCAGGGAAGCTCTATCTCAGGGGTTAAGGGTCCAAACCACACTAAAAACAATTTTTTGAGCTAACTCAGGAAAGTAATCTTTATTTATAACTTAGAAAAAATATTTGCTAAGCATTAGTCTTGAAGTGAACTTTTGGAACACACCTGTCTAAAAACTTGATCCTGCCTGGCTTGTGTTTCTCATTGCAGATCATGGGATAACAGTTGTGTCTGTATTGTTCAGCGCCATGCTCCTCAGCTCCTGGAAATCTTAAAGAATAGTCACTGCCAGTAGGACTTTTTGTTGAAAGAGTACAAAGTACCACAGAGTGGTAGTAGATGATGGACTTTGGATTCAAGTGTCATCACTTTTGGATGTGTGGTCTTCTTTAATGTAATCTTCAAGACGCTCATCTGAAGTATCAATCTTAACACACTTGGTCAAATAATATGAAATGGCTTATCCATATCACATGCTCTCCAATGCCCGGCATACAGTATGTGTTCAATTAACGCCAATTCTCTTCTCCCTGCTTATCTGTCTTAGGTAGAACTCTTCCCTTCCTTTCCTAGCTCATAAAAATAAAACTTAGGTTCTTTTGCAAGTATTCGGAAGGGAAGTTCTGGCCTTACTTCCATCTATGATGTTCCTCTACAAGGGAGTAGAAAAGATTCATTTGATTGGTGAGATTTGGGGAAAAGAACCCCATGAGTTCACATGGAGCTTTTGTACAGATGACACAAAAGTGCTCCCTCTGGGTGGACACAGCCCTCTGTCCACAAGGCTTGATGGACGGATGGTATCTTTATGTAACATGGATTCAAACCAGTGAGTATAGCTTGGCTAGTGAAATGTGGACTGGATTTCAATCCCCACCTGCTCCTTGGCTGGCACCCTGTGCAGGGAGCAACCCGCACTGATGTAAGCATTCTCATTTTCAGAACTGCCCTGCCTGCAAAGGGCATCTTTTTTCCTCTGTTCCTGATTCTATGGGGTAATCACAGCTGGATCAAGGTCCAATGACAAGCTTCCAGAGGCAGGCTTGTTTTTCACTCCGTGCTGGTAGGTATGGGGCAGGTAGCTGTTTCCCCAGTGGGAATGCGGCTGTTGAGCAAATCTTAGCTGATTTACAGGGTCAAGAAATCTAAACCTGGGGGAAGGAATAGGAAGCCTGGTCTTGCCTGAAGGTCCGGTCCATGTAGCATTCTTTTTTTTTTTTTTTTTTTTTGAGACGGAGTCTTGCTCTATCACCCAGGCTGGAGTGCAGTGGTGTGCTCCCAGCTGACTGCAACCGCCTCCTCCTAGGTTCAAGTGATTCTTGTGCCTCAGCCTCCCGAGTAGGTGGGATTACAGGTGCCTGCCACCAAGCCCAGCTAATTTTTGTATTTTTAGTAGAGGCGGGGTTTCACCATGTTGGCCAGGCTGGTCTCGAACTCCTGACCTCAAGTGATCCTCCCACCTCAACCTCCCAAAGTGCTGGGATTACAGGTGTGAGCCATCTCACCTAGCCCATGTAGCATTCTTCACATCACTCCTGACTGTTGTTCAATTGGTTCAGAATCTATAGAGGAAAGGGATGAGATGAACATTTAAGAAACTCCAAGCCAGGCACCATGACACACGCCTGTAATGCCAGTGCTTTGAGAAGCCGAAGTAGGAGGATTGGAGGCCAGGAGTTTGAGACCAGCCTGGGCAATGTAATGAGATCCTGTTGCTACAAAAAATATAATTTACATAATTAGCAGGGGGTAGTAACATACTCCTATAGTCCCAGCTACTGGGAAGGCTGACCTGGGAGAATGGCTTGAGCCTAGGAGATCCAGGCTGCAGTGAATTATGATGAGGCCACTGCACTCCAGCCCAGCGACACAGCAAGACCCTGTCTCTAAAAAATAAATAACAAATACATACATATAGCTAAAATAAAACAAAAGAAACTCCAACACGTTTATGTGGTCATTGATTCATTTATACTACAAATGTTTTCCAGCATTTTCATGTGGCAGGTACATTGATATAACTTAGGGATAAAACTTTGAATCATATATAATTCTCTGTTCTAAAAGTACTTACAGCCCAGTGGGAAAGAGAAACAAGTCACAACAATATGGTATAACTAGCTGTCTAATAGACATATATATGGGGCGCTTGGGAACATGGGAGTAGAACAAGAACTTAGTCTGTGAGGGGCAAAGAAATCCAGATTCTTCCCAGGAGAGGTGACACCTGAACTGTCTTGAAGACAGAGTAGAAGTTTTGCAAGCATATATGGAGGTGAGCAGGAACATGGAATCTGGGGTGGTGCTCAAACTTATGGCTTGGACAACCATGTGAATAGTGGGGGTAGTAATTAGGGACGAAGAGGTAGAGAGAGAGAGAGTTTTGGATGTGTTGCTTGGAAATGATGGCCTGTGTGTGTCACCTGGAGTTGTGTAGTAGCCATATATGGCAGATACTGTATTAAGTGATTTCTATGCTTTATTTCATTTAATTTCTCCCAAACTGTATGAATTATATACAATTACCTCCACCTTACAGATAAGGAAAGCAAGGCTTTTCTCAAGGCCACACAGTGGCAGAGCTGCAATTTGAATGCAGGTGTGTCTATGCCAAAGCCCATATTCTTTCCAGGATCTGAAGCTGTTTCTGGGCTAGATGATAGAGGTCGGGGCTGAAGAGTCTGGGTTGCAGATGCTTAACCCAGAAATGATGACTCACTCATTTGCATTTGCATTTGCCTTGTTGCAACTGCGACTAGATGTTCTTGTTATAGTAATTTACATCACATGATTTAATTTATACTTGTTATTCTTCTTTTTTTGTAATGTGAGAGCTAAGTGTGCAGTGGTATCTTTTTATTACTGTTTATTTTTTCTTACCTTATATGTCGAAATTTAAGCCGCAATTCAGTCAGTTTTAATGCTATTAACAGTTTGCTGGCTGACTCCCAACCAACCACAATTTAATCTGCTTTGATAGGAGCATACCATTTTCACAGGCAGAAGAACCGATCATTGTAGTCAACCCAGCTCACAGCTTAAATGTGGTCTCAAGAAGATAAAAAGTTTATTCCATGAGCTAGAACTAGCATATGCATTATAAAAACTGCAGCTAGTGATGCCACAAAGAAAGCATTTATTTGAGTTTATTTTTGAAGCTGCCAAAGTAGAAAAACAGTCTGCTTTCACTCTGACCAGAATTGTCCCTCTCTTCTAATATCTCTCTCTCTAGCTTTTCCTCATCTCTATCTGCATCTCTTGGTTTCTCTGACTCTGTCTTTTCCTTCTTTGTTAACATGTTGGAATTCATTGTTTAAACTTATAATTCTCAAAACTAGAAAATCAAGGCCTCTTTTGGAAGAGGAAAATGTTATCCAACCAGATTAATAGGCATAGGGGAATATCCAAACAGCTGGAATGTCCTGGTTTTCATGTACCTTTCATTGAAATTAAGAAAAAATATCCAAAATTCTACATAAATCATGTTGGATGCAACGAATGAGTAACAAATACAAATCATCCAGTAGAGGGCGATGCTGACTTATTTATGGGTGCCTTCGGTAGAAAATGCAAATTAAGTAATAAAAGACTTTTCTTGACGTAAATTGTTCAACCAACATGCAGATCAGATGATTCTTAATGCAGTAAAATCATATAAATTCACATTTAATTGAATCAGATCTTGTGATAATTTGCTCAAAGACTGAATTAAATAATAGTTTTTAAATGCCCTGGGGTGAGAATTAATGAATCTGCTTTCACTTTTCCTTTAAACCTGGGGCTCTGTGGCCTTTAGAAAGCCTTTTAAGCTCTCCGAGCCTCATTTTTCTCACCTAGAAAATGACACATTTGGCCCAGATAGAGGGTAAATTCCCTTTTGCTTTAAGAAGCACTTATTCTGTGAACCAGTATGTTAAGCACATTAATTCTGTAAAAGAGATTTTCTGGGGAAGTTTAAAGTGGTAATTTCCAAGTCTTACTCCTCATCAGAATCACTGAAGTAGTCTCATTCCAAAGCCTTTGCAGGACTTTCCAGGAAATAAAGGGGACCAGATTGTGAGTGGTGTGGGAGAACACATATATCACTGGCTCTCCTGAGCCTTCAACTTTTATACACTTAAGAAGAAGTTCTGATGTCATACCAAGAAAGCAGTTTGAGTTCAAAATAGACATTTGATGTACATCAGGACATCAGAGGGCAGTAATTGTCTAGTGCTCATGTAGCTCATCTAGTTACTAGTGCTCGTGGAGCTGGTTCTTCCCTCCTTTCTGAGTCATGGAAGACTATACCTGCCAGCCTCCTTGCTTGCATTCTCACACAGAACTTTTTCTGTAAAAAGCCAGATAGTAAATATATTATTCTTTATGAATCATATGGTCCCTGTAACAATAATCAACTCTAGTGTTGTCATGCAAAAACAGCTGTATCAGTTGTCTATACCTTGTAACAATTTACCCAAAGTTTGGTGGCATAAAATAGCACACATTTATTATCTCAGTTTCTGTGGTTCAAAATCCTGGCATAAACTAGCAGGGTTCTCTGCTTCATGGTCTCTCACAAGGCTATAATCAAGGTGTAGGCCAGCCGTATGGTCTCTTAAGAAGGCTCAACTGGGAAAAGATCTGATTTGAAGCTCACTTATGTGGTTGTTGATTGGATTCATAGAGTGTTTGAGTGAGAGCCTTGATTCCTTGTTAGTAGAGGCCACTTTCAGTTCCTTGCCTGTGGGCCTTGCACACATGGCAGCTTGCTGCATCCATGCTTGCAAGCTGAGAAGGCGAGAGTGAGAGAATAATAGCAAGAGGAGGTCACAGTCTTTTCAAATTGAACCACAGAAATGACACCCCATCATTTTTTTCCCCGAGATGGGGTCTTGTTATGTTTCCCAGGCTGAAGTGTAGTGGCTATTCAGTGGTGTTATCATAGTGCACTATAGCCTTGAACTACCTGACTCAAGAAATCCTCCCACCTCAGCCTCCTCAGTAGCTGGGACTACAGATGCATGCAACCATATCCAGTTTCCCATCACTTTTGCTCTATTGTATTTGTTAGAAGCAAGTGACTAGATCCAGCCCCCATTGAAACAGGAGAATTGCATAAGGACGTGAATATTAAGGGAGAGGGATCCATGTCAGGAGATACCTAACACAGCAGCCATGGACAGTATAACAATGAGTGGGCAAAAATGTGTTCCTATAAAACTTTATTTACAGAAAAAGGCAGCTAGAGTAATGTCAGCAAAAATGGTAGAGTAGGTAGCTCCCAGAGCATGTCTCTCCACAGAAAAATCAAAAACTGAAGCAAAAACTCTCAGAATCAAGTTTGTGAGAATTCTGTAAAACAGACAAAAAAATTTACATCTCCAAAAGTGAATACTGAATGAAGAAAAAGGGAACTAAAGTGGTAAGCTATCAAACAGAGTAAAAATGTAACCAGCAAATGGAAGAAAATATTTGCAAATCATATATCTGATAATGGATTAATATTCAAAATATATAAAGAATTCTTATAACTTCACAATAGCAAAACAACAACAACAACAGCACACACATAAAACAGCTCAAATATAGGCAAAGGGCTTGATACAGCATTTCTTCAAAGCAGATGTAGAAATGGGCAATAAACACATGAAAAGATGCTCAACATCACTAATTATTAGGAAAATGCAAATCAAAACCATAATGAGATACCATCTTACATCCATTAGGATGGTTACTATCAAAAACTAGAAAATAACAAGTGTGGCTAGTAATGTAGAGAAATTGAAACCCTTATGTGTTGTTCATGGGGCTGTAAAATGATACAGCCACTGTGAAATACAACATAGCAGTTCTTTAAAAAGTTAAGCATAGAATTATAATATAATCCAGTAATTACACTTCTGGATCTATACCCAAAAGAACTGAAAGCAGGAACTTACACAAATATTTTTCCTTTTTAGCTGACATGTAGTAATTGTACATATTTATGGGATACAGAATAATATTTCAATACATGTATGCAATGTGCAATGATCAAATCAGGGTAATTAATATATCCATCACCTCAAACATTTATCATTTTTTGTGTGGGGAATATTCAAAATCCTCTCTTTTAGTTTTTTGAATAATTAATACATTATTATTAACCATATTCAGAATATAGTTCTTATAGTACTATAGAGCACGATAATTTATTCCTCCTATCTAGCTGTAATTTTGTGTCTGTTAACCAACCTCTCTCTGTCATTCTCTTGCCCCTACTCTCCCCAGCCTCTAAGAACCATAATTCTACTCTCTACTTTTATGAGCTTACTTTTCTGGCTGCCACATATGACTAAGAGTATACAATATTTATCTTTCTGTCACACAAATATTCACCAATATTCATAGTATTATTCATTAAAAGGTGGAAACAACTGAAATTTCTATTGACAGATGAATGGATAAACAAAATGTAGAATATACATATATAGGAATATTATTCAGCCTTAAAAAAGCAATGAAATTCCAAAACATGCTACGACATGAATGAACCTCGAGGATATTATGCTAAATGAAATAAGCTAGACATCAAAGGACAAATATTATATGATTTCATATATGTGAGGTACCTGGAATACTCACATTCATAGAGAAAGAAAGTAGAATAGTGGTTACCAGGGCCAGGGGAAGATGATAGGGAGTTATTGTTTAATGGGTACAGAGTTTCAGTTTGAGATAATGAAAAAATGTTTGCAAATTTGGATCACATTTGCACAACAATTTGATTATACTTAAGGCCATTGAATTGTATATTTAAAAATAGTTAAAATGGTAAATTTTGTTATGTATATTTTACCATGATAAAGAATAAATGGAAAAAAAGAGTAATCTCTAGCTACAGAGATGAAATACAGCACAGTGAGAAAAAGCACAGATTCTAGAGTTCCACCTCCTACAAATCCCAGCCCTGCCATTTACTAGCTGCAATGACATTAACTTCTCTATCCCTCAGTTTTCTCACTTGTAAAATGAACATAATAACAACACTATCTCACAGGATTGTTCAGAAGACTAAACGATTTCATATTTGTAAAACATGCAGAAAAATACCTGGCTATAGAAGAGTTTATTAAATAAATATTATAATACTGTTCTTTATCTTGCTTTTAAGTTTCCATTTTTGACAAAAAATTATAAAGCATGCAAAGAAACAAGAAAGTATGGCCCATTCACAAAAGAAATGAACAAAAACTATCTCTGAGGAAGCACAGACATTGGACTACCTAGTCAAACTGTCTTAAATATGCACAAAGAGCTAAAGGAAACCATGGAGAAAGTGTGAGAGAAAATCAGGGAAATGATAAATGAATAGAAAATATCAATAAAAAATAGAAATTATAAAAAGAAACCAGACAGAAATTCTCGACCTGAAAAGTAGAGTAACTGAAATAAAAATTTCTCTAGAGAATTTTAATAGCATATTTGAGCAGGATGATAGAAAGAATTAGCAAACATAAAGATAGGTCCTTTGAAATTATTCAGTCAAGGAATGCAGAAAAACAAACAGTGCCTGAGAGACCTATGGGATGCCATTAAGCAAACCAAATACACATATTGGGAATCCCAGTAGGAGAGGACAGGACAAAGTGGTCAGAAAAAAATATTTGAACAAATAATGGCTTAAAATTTCCTGAATTTGATTTTTAAAAATTAAAACATGAATTTAAGCATTTAAGGAGCTCAATTAACTCCAAGAAGGATAAATGCAAAAGGAATCATGCCAGGACACATAATCAAATTATCAAAAGACAAAGATGGAGAAGCAACTCATCATGTACAAGTGATCTTTAATAAGACTGATGGCGGGTTCCTCATTAGAAATCATGGAGGCCAGAAAGTAGTGGGGTAATATTTTTAATTTTTAAAATTATCTTGTTGTTGTTTCTGTTTTGTCTTTTACAAGATGAAAATTTAATAAAAAATTGGTCAGTGGGTATGTGTAATCCACAGGGCTATATAGTTACGCGGGATTGTAATAGGAATTTAACATAGAATAGATACTGGAGTAAATTTTACATATTATCATCATCTGACCTGTCTTCTTCACTCAAGGATTCTTTAGCATATTTATCTGCTTATTCCCTTATATCTTTTGAAACAATTTCATGTCTTCCTTTAGTTAAACCACTAACCCAGCTGAGTTCGTAAACTTTATCCTTAGCGTCATCATGTACTATGTAAATTACTTGAGCAACTTCTGTAACAGTATCATAGCAGGTCATTTCTTTCATCTGAAGCTTTTCTATTTCTGTTTTACAGCTTGCCTGGCTTTGCCAGTGGCACAGGCCCAATAACCATATAAAACACCTGATGAGTCAATCATGGAAAATTGTGCACTGTCATTCATACTGTAAGACCCTAACATGAAACTGAAGGCAAAAGATCTAACAGCACTGTAGAGTGTATATGCATGTACATACATGTCCACTCTGTTTGCAAGATGTTTTAGTGGAGTGTTATAACCAAAGTCAGATTTAAAGTTGGAAACTTCTTCTCTTGCTATGTCTGCTAAAGAACAAGCATCTGCCTACAAACCTGCTGCCAGCATTCCAACATTCCGATCCAATGTGCTGATCAACATTAATAAGTCGTTTGTTGGAAACTCCTTCATAAAGTTTAGAAAGCACTAATTTTTTAGACCCCAAAGACATTGCTATGTTTATATATGATTTCAATCACTGTACGATTTCCCACAGCCTTCATAGCCCCATTTATATTTCTTATAGATGAAACAAATATGACAAATTGCTAATAGTTAGTGGGTATATGGATGATCATGTACTATTCTTTTAACTTTTGTATATTTGGAAAGTTTTGTAGTAAAAAATGGAGGGTAAAAGAAACAGAATATTCTTCACCTAAAGATTCTGCCTATCTATCTATCTATAAAAAACTTCAGCAAACATAATCCTAAATCAGAAAAATTTTAAGCTTTCCTAATAAAGTTAGGGACTAGGCAATGTTACCCATTTTATCACTTCAAGTCAACACTGTATTAGAAATTCCTGACAGTGCAAAAAAAAAAAAAAGAAATCAAGACATAAGTATTGGAAAAAGAAATTAGACTATCATTATATTATTAATAATAGGTTTAATTACATAGAAAACATATAGAATTTAAAAATAGGATAATTTAGCACAGTGCCTTGTTATCGAAGCAATTTATAATAGTTAATTTCATATTCATATACCAGCAGCAAGTAACTAGAAAACACAATTTAAAAGAACACAAAATTTGAAATAGCATGAAGTAATACGGAGTACAAAGGAACAAACACAGCCATGTGTTGCTTAATGATGAGAATACTTTCTGAGAAATGGGTTGTTAGGCGATTCTGTCATTATATCAACATCGTAGAGTGTACTTAAACAAACCTAGATGGTATAGCTTACTACACACCTAGGATAGATACTATACCCTAGGCTACAAACCTGTATAGCATGTTACTGTACTGAATACTGTAGGCAATTAAAACACAATGGTAAGTATTTGCATATCTAAACAAACCTAAATATACTCTTAATTCGGCAATTTTACTCTTAGGAATTCATCTCATAGAAATAACAGCATCAGTATATAAGGAACACAGATACACATGGATATAAACCATTGGTTGTAGTTATTTAATACAAAAAGGAAACAGTTTTAATGCCCATCAGTAATGGATATGATTGAATAATTGTGGTATATCTATTCAATGGAATAGTAGACAGTGATTAAAAAGAAAGTGTCAAATCTACTAAATCTATCTGGAGGGATGTTCATGATATTGGTAAACTGGAAAAGCAAGTCTCAGTGTGAAGTGTATAATACAATACTGTTTTTATAAGTTCAAGCAAAAAACCATAGGGATATTGCTGATATTTGATCATTTTTAAATGAAATGAAAATGGAAATTACATAAAATTAATTATAATATTTGGGAATGTTTATATGAGAAAGGGAATGTTGTAGGAAGGCTCATCCCAGGCTCTGAGCTATGGTTAGCCTACTGTGGTAGGTGAGAGTTCACACAGGGAAGGTCATCTACTTTTCCTTATGCCTTCCTGCATCATTTATTTACATGGATTGCAATAAACTTTTGCTATTTTTAATTTTAAAAAAATCTATTAATGTTAATTTATAAAAATGAAAAAGTTTTTTATTTGAAATCTAATTTTCATCATTTCAAAGCAAGTGTTTCATTATACTGGCAACTGACTTCTGAAAAGGTAAGTTTCAGAATGTAACATGCACTTCCTAATTTAATGCCTAATGGATAACTAAATGAATAAATGAGTTATAGCATTTTGATACCTCCCCCCCCCCCACATGCATACTTCACAGCATTATTTTAATCTAATCATTAAAGTAAAAGGCCCATTCACCAGAATGTAAGTTCCATGAGGGAAGGAATTTTTGTCTGTTCTATCCATTGTTGTATTTACAGCTCATAAGCTGTTATATAGTGAGTGCAATTGTTTTTAAATGAATAAATGAATGCTTTGGTAGGGAGTGAAAAGGAAGATGAAAATTCTCCAGTAGTTTGTGTGATTCTGTGAGATGGCAGACAGTGGTAATGATGGTTTTGTATCAACTTGGGTGAGATAAGGAAATTGGTACTTTTACAATATGGTACCAAATTTTCTGTACCTAATCAACAAAAGGCAACAATATTTTTCTTTTCCTATTTGAATTAGATTTCTCTTTAATTACTCATCACTGCTGATTAATATAATAGGTTACTGATACTCTAAAGAAATACAACACACCAACGGCTGCTCCCTTTGGCAAAGTTCAGGGGTTTTATTTGTTTGTTGGGGACAGGATGTTGCTCTGTCACTCAGGCTGGAGTGCAGTGGCCCCATCAAGGCTCACTGCAACCTTGATCTCCTGGGCTCAAGTGATCCTCCCACCTCAGCCTTCTGAGTAGCTGGGACTACAGTTGCATGTCATCACACCTGCCTAATTTTTTACTGTTTTGTAGAGACAGTGTCTCACCATGTTGCCCAGGCTGGTCTCTAACTCCTGGGTTCAAGTGATACTCCCACCTTGGCCTCCCAAAGTGTTGGGATTACATAGTGTGGACCACTATGTTCAGTGAAAGTTTAGGTTTCATTCCAAATATTTTGAGTAGGTAACTGACTTTTAGGCTTTTAAAAGAGAACTCTAGCTATTGAGTAGAAAATAGACATGGGGGAGGAGGAGCGGAGAGTGACAGTCGTGGGCCCAGTGAGGAGGCCATGGCAGTGATTAAGCGGAGAGGTGGTGTTAGCTTGGACCAGGATAATAAGAATGAATGGGGTAAGAAATGGCAGGATTTGGGATGTAGTCAACTAGAAGAGAAGCACATTTAGAGCTAGAAATAGTAACTGGCTTATTTGACTATTTCAATCTACAGGGGTATACATTTGAAACAGTTTCATTTTATTCTAATTACTATTAAATCTTCCTTTCTTGTCCCTTTACAGTATTTCTGACAGGTGGCACAGTTATCTGATCATGTTCAAGCATTATAATGCCTGATCTAGCCTATTCCAGTTTAAAACTTTATCTCAATTTTAATTTCATGTTCATCTCTTCTCTACCCCCTGTCCACACATGCTCACTCCCCATCTCCCATTGCTACACATGCAGGCCAATTTTGGAATGGCAGAGGGGAGATGAAAAGGGACAAGTCACTTTTTTTTTTCTTTTTGAGACAAAGTCTCACTTTGTCACCCAGGCTGGAGTGCAGTGGCATGATCATAATTCCCTGCAGCCTCTATCTCCTGGGCTGAAGCCAACCTCATGCCTCCCCAGTGTCTGGAACTACAGGCACACACCACCTCGCTGGGCTCATTTTTAATTTTTTTTGTAGAGACGGGGACTTGCCATGTTGCCCAGGCTGGTCTCAAACTCCTGGGCTCAAGCAATCCTCCCACCTTGGCTTCCCAAAGTGCTGGGATTGCAAGCGTGAACCGCCGCACCCGGCCTTCACTTTCATTTAAGTGGTTGTGCAATTGCAAACCTCTCCACTTTGTTGATGCCTTCTGTGCAGCGGACATCCCAGTTCTTGGGTCTTTTCAGTGGTCATATGGAGGCTCTCAGAACAATTCCAAGGAGACTTCCCTCTGCCTAGTTTTCTGCCAGGGGAGATCGGATTCCAATCCAATCTCTTCTAATCTCTCAGCTCCATCCCCATGGTCTTACTGTTGGGTTCCCTTTGACATGCTGCCAGTCCTCTGATGTGGTGACATAAGTCTTGTTACCTCCCATCACTTGGGCCTCAGGAAATTCTAGAGTCCTTGCCACACCCAGTAATGGTCTTATAGGCAGCCCCACTGTGGTCCCTCTGTCTGCTTTGCCATCTCACTTCTCACTTCTCTTTTCCCTGCTTAATTAAGTCTGCTGCCTGAGCAAAAGCTAACAGCTGTCTCCCTTCTCGCCAGTCTCCCTTCTTTCAGGTGTCCCAATTCCTGTGAGCTTCCCTGCGCTTGTCTTAGAGGAGGGAGCACTCACTTTCCCTTTGCATGAGGAAGGAGGAAAAAGCCATGGGCCTTCCCTGAGGCTGTTGACTCACTGCCTCATTTCCCACAACTCTCTCTGACATCTCCTTCCAGGACAGGTTAAAAATGGGAGAGGGAATCATTGGGGTCATGTTGAGGAGTGGCATGACAGGTTCTTTTCCTATGAATAAGCCCAAGGAGATGACTGGCTCTTTTTAGAATATGGATTGTGCAAGATGTATCTTTTTTCTCAGAGCTGGATTCTAGTGGCCAATTCTGAGGCCACAAGAAAATTTCCACTCAACATCCTATTAGGGATGATTCTGAGGTTTGGGGGCTGCACAAATAGAGTATCATTTACTAAGATGGGAGAACACTGCAGGTACGAACAGTTTAGAGGTAGGAATCATGAGTTCTGTTTTAGATATTTTAAGATTGAGATGAGGATTAGGCAACTAGTGAGGATGTGAGTTTGGACCTGACAGGAGAGGTCAGTGCCAGAAACACACTTTTGCAACTCATGAGAGTACAGAGAACACCAGCATATATGAATAGATGGAGGAGAAAAGGAAGGTCGAAGACTGTCCTGGGGTACTCCAAATTCAAAGGCTAGGAAAAGGAAAAGGAGAACCCAGCAATGGAGACTGAGAAGGAACCAGCACCTATGAGCTAATGAAGTAGCACCACTGTCTGGGGTACACACCTGGGGCTCGTTGTCTCACGCCAAGGAAATCAAGGACACCAACACAAGAAGTCAGTTTAGGAGCGGAGGTTTAAAAGGCAAAAGAAAGAGAAAGAACAGCTCTGCCTCTTGCGAGAGAGAGGGGCACCCAAATCAGACTTCCAGTCCACAGCTGAGTGCACCAGATTTTATAGACAGGCTTGAGGAGGCGGTGTCTGATTTACATAGGGCCCACAGATTGGTTGGACCAGATGTGACATTTACATAATATGTGGGGAAGCTGGCTGCCCCACCCTAATCTTACTATGCAAATGGGGTCTTCACCTGGCCATTGTCATGTTTTCTCCTCCTTACTGTACACGTGGTTTGTCAAAAAGAAGGGAAGATGGGGCCGTCATTCTGATCATGCCTAGTCCCAAGTCGCCTTTTCCTATTGACCCAACTGCTGGCATTCACCCATGCAGGCTTCCAGCTTTCTTGTCTCTGTCTGCAGCTTGATTTTACAGGCTACTCTGCGTTAGAAAAGAAAATGATTTGGGGACTGCTTTTCATTAAAAGGAAAACCTTACCCTATCTGCCTAAATAATTTCTTTTTAACTTCTATATCAGTAAGAGGGAAATCACTGGAAACCAAGTAAAAAAAAAGAGGGTTTGAAAAATAAGGAAATGACCAGCTGTGTCGAATGCTGTTGAGAGGTTGAGTAAGATGAAGACTGACCACTGATCATTTAATATATCAAGATGGGGATCACTGGTGACAATAAGAAGAGTGGTTTCAGTGGAATAGTAGGGACAAAAGCCTGACCGGCATAAGTAGAAGAGAGAATGAAGATGATGAAGTGGAAACACTGCACATAGATAACTATTGAATTTTGATTTAAAGGGGTGCAGAGAAAAATGAAACAATAACTGGAGAAGAATGTGGGGGATCAAAGAAATGTTTTTTCTTTAAGATGGAACATATTGTGCATGTTTTATGCTGATGCAAATTTACAGAGGAAAAAATTTATGATGGAGGAGAGAAAATAACATGAGTAAAATTGCAATTATAATTAAGGTCAAAATTATAATAAAGTCATAATTATGATGATCTTTATAAAATAAAAGTAAAAAGCACTATATTGTGTAGGACTCTTGGTTGCAAGTGACAGAAATTCAATTTAAACTAGTTGAAAAAAAACTAGTTGAGTTAAAAAAAGGAAAGAAGTTGTTGACACAAATATCAATGGGAAGAATACAGAATGGGTCATAGAACTAGGGGAGAAGCCTCAAAAACTAGGGATTTAACAGTGACCAAGCTCTCCTCATTCATCTTTCATGTCTGTTTCTGCTTTTCTTTGCATGTTGTTCTCATTCTATCATAGTTCAAATGTGCCTCTTCCACCTGGTCAGTGAGTTTGGTCACATTTTCCCAAAGCAACAGAAAATCTCCCCCAACAGCACTAGCCAGTGAGTCCTTGGAGGGATGCTGAGTGGTTGGCTGGGCTCATGTGTCCATCCCAGAACTCATCAGTTAGACTGGGGGAATGAGCATTCTTTGGCCAGGTGTTGGTCACATATGCAGCCACTGGCTGACTAGTGCTTACACACTTTTCTTCCCTTATTATTTTTTAAAGTGCCCCTTAATGACAAAATGCAACTCTTCTGTATATAATCCATGCATTGCTTCCCAAAGAAAGACAACCCAAAGTCACTGGCATTCACCTTCAAGTCTGGTACCTGTTGATGTATATTCCTTTGGTGCAGGTGTGGTCCAAATATATTTAAATATATTAAATAATACATGTAAAAACCTCCAACACACACAATATCCAATGTTAGAGGGAAAGACAACTACAATGAGACCTCCCACTGATCCATGGCATAGTCATGTCCTGCGCTGCAGGGACAGGAAGGCCTCACTCCTTGAGAGAAAATTGCCAGTCTGGTTATGGTAAGCTCTGCACACCAGAAGGAACAAAGGTAAGGGTTTGTCTTCCCTTCCCTGCACTGTTATTGGAGCCAGTGAGGGGTATGAGAACTGCCTCAGAGATTGTGCCATTTAGGCCCAAAGTTCTCTGACAACACAACTCCCTTACCAGGCAGTCCACTCTGTTTCCTGGGAACCCTGTGATTGGTGAGGAATCCTGATGAGGGAAAGGGTGCAGACCTGGCCTAGCTAAGGGGGTGTTTCCTGGAGACACAGGGGGAGACATTACACAGAGGGCACAGCCTGTCATGTGTGCTTTTCAGCAAAACTCCGTTAAAAAAAAACAAACTTTTTTTTTTTTTATTCCCTCAATCCACCTGCCCAAGGGCAACTGTCCAGGGCGTCCTCTTTGCTACATGCCAGGTAATGAATTTATCCACAAATTGTGCAAACAAGACGTATTGTTCCCTGGCTGCTTGTACTTTTGTCTCTCTCTTCACCCTTTTAAATAATGCTTTGCCTTTGTTCCTTGAATCTTCTCTTTCATGTATATAAGTAAGCTATCTACTTGCAATAACTAACTCTTTCTGAAGTATTATTTTTTGAGACAGGCTCTTGCTCTGTTTCCCAGGCTGGAGTGCAGTGGCACAATCATGGCTCACCACAGCCTCCTGGGCTCATGTGATCCTCCTGCCTCAGCCTCCAGAGTAGCTGGGACTACAGGTGTGTGCTACCATGCCTGGCTAATTTTTTTGATTTTTTTATAAAAATGAGATCTTGCTACGTTGTCCAGGCTGGTCTCAAACTTATGAGCTCAAGCAATCCTCCCACCTCTGCTTCCCAAAGTGCTGGGATTAGAGGTGTGAGCCACCACGCCCAACTTAAGTATTATTTTGACACTAGTGAAAACTTTAAAAAGTTCCCACACTCCTAGGAAAAATTTACAGCCAGGATACAAGATCAACCACCAGAAATGATTTTAAATCTACTTAATCCGTCAACAACTCACCTCTGCAAGCATGATTCTGGAAGCCAACCCAGCAGCGAAAACCCCTTGCTTGTGAAAGCAAACCACCTGGGAATGGACTGCTTCAATGAACACACCACTGAGTGCCAATCTACTAAAGTCTCACTCAAGTAACTACAGTTCTTCAGCTGACATCAACCTACTCTGCCAGTCACCAAACTCCATGCTTCTGCAGAGCTGTATTAAGATCAGTTCCCTGATCTGCTTAGAGAGACTGGGCCTGGTCAGCATAGCTCTCCCTTATATACCTAAGCAATAAATTCAGCTTTATTTTTTGTTTATTGTGATGGTCTGAATTGTGTTCTCCTGAAATTAATATGTTGAAGTTTTAACTCCTAGTACCTCAGAATGAGACTGTATTTGGGGATGAGCTTGTTAAAGAGGTGGTTAAGGTAAAACGAGGTCATGTCAGTGGGCCCTGATCCAATATGATTGATGATGTCCTTATAAGAAGAGGAGATTAGGACACAGATGCACACAGAGAAAAGACTATGTGAAGACAGGAAGAAGACGACCATCTGCTATAGCAGGACGAGCCACAGACAAAACTCCTTAGATACCGGGTTAAAGAAGGAAGGAGCTTTATTCAGCTGGGAGCTTCTGCAGACTTGCATCTCAAAAGCCGAGCTCCCTGGGAGAGAAATTCCTGCCCCCTTTAAGGGCTTACAACTCTAAGGTGGTCTACGTGAAAGGGTTGTGATCGATTGAGCAAGCATGGGGTATGGGACTTGGGCTGCATGCACCGGTAATCAAGACAGAGCAGAACAGAACAGAACAGAAAATTTCACAATGCTTCTTCACACAATGCCTGGAATCTATGGATAATACAAGCAGTTAGGTCAGGGGTTGATTTTTAACTACCAGGCTGGAGGTGCTGCAGTGGGCTGTCTGACTATTGATCTTATTTTTGCCTTTCTGTAACTTTTGAATTCTCTTTCTTTTTCTGAGGTATGAGACAAGGAGAGGGGGTGGTCTTCAAGTCAAGGAGGGGGACCTCAGAGGAAACCAGCCCTGTCAGCACCTTGACCTTGAACTTCTAGACTCCAGCACTGTGAGAAAATAAATTTCTGTTGTTTAAGCCATCCAGTCTGTGATATTTTGTTATGGCGGCCCTAGAAAATTAATATATTAATGTTTATTTTGGATATTGAGGTCTCTAGACACTAGAAATCAACATCAAAATTCTTACCAAATGAAGGTAATGACCCTGGACTCTGCCTGAGCACTTCTGTCTCCAAGTAACAGGCCTCAGTGCTGTGCTTGGGCTCCTGGCCCACAGGTTAGTGGTTTTCACCTGGACCTCAGGTTGGTTGCAGAGGCAGGCCACATCCTTAGGGTAGGGGATTTACCTATGGGGGCACAAATACATTCCTTAACATTTCTCGTAAGCTAATTTTAGTGGGTCTCTGCCATTTGCGATTGAGAGTACCGACTGATTGAGACATTGGTACCCAGAAGTAGAGTGCTAGAAATGAAATATCCTAAAATGTGAACTACTGTGTCAAGGTGGAGTAGGAGGCAGTGAGGCTCTCTCCATCTCCCTCCATCCCTGGGTGGGAAGTGGGCAGTCTTTATGATATGGTAATGAAGCAGCTCATTAAGATGTTATTGTAGTTTCTTTGGGATTCAGACCTGTACATACTAAGGTAGAAGCTTCAGGGAATCCAGCAGAACAAAATTAGGCTGCTCTGGTGTGAGAGGCAGTATTATATGGTGGTTCAAGAGCAAAGACTGAAATTAGACTACCTAGGTTCAAAGACCCTGTCTCCTAGCTGTGTGACCTAGGGCAAGTTACTTAATCACAATTAAGCTTCCTCATCAGGGAAATGGGAATTAAAATAGTACCTAATTAACTGGATTATTGTGAAGATTAAGGGATTTAATATATATAAAGCACTTAGAATAGGCCTGGCAATTAGAAAGCATATGGACAGGTTAACTCTTGTTGTCTTGGTTACTTCTTGTGGCTCCTGTCAAGATCCTACTAGAAAGAGATAAGCCTTGGTCTTAGATAGCTGGGAACAGCATACGGCTTTGTTAAAAGAGATCACGCTCCTCACTGCTCTCATGCCCCATCTCAGCAGACAGCAATCCAAGACTGCTTAGGGTTCGGAATTACAAAACCAAATTCCCTGCTAAGGCTAAAGTTGATCTGAACAAAAGTAAGGGCAAGGCAAAGAGAATAGACATTAGACAGGGACCTGAAAGGATCCAGAAATGGGACTTTACATCCCACAGAGGAAACAGGTAAGGTGTTTCCATACAGTGACAGAGAATAGATCAGTGGCTGCCTAGGGAAGGGGTGGAGGATGGGTGGATTTCAAAGGGTCACCCCTTTTGGGGGTGATTGAAATGTTTACCTTGATTGTGGTGATGGTTTCACAGGTGTATATATTTGACAAACTCATCAAGTTGTATACCTTAAATATGTGCAGTTTCTTGTACTCGAATTATACTTTAGTAAAGGTATAAACAAGAGAGAGCAAGAGGTAGAAGCTGCAATAGCTTCTGTGACCTATCCTTGGGAGTCACACACTCATCATTTCTGCAGCATTCTGCTGGTTACAGTGATCAACCCTGATACAACCTGGGAGGGAAATACATGGTGGTTTGCACACAGGAGGTGAGCATTGTTGGATCCATCTGGGGGATTTCTGGCCATCCCTCTATGTGGAGAGAACAGTATGTACAAGGCCTTGAGGTGGGCTGGTATTCCAGAAAGCCTTAACTGATTAACTCTACTCACCTCTGCTGAAAAGTTGACTGTTACTTGGTGCAATGGTTTTTTTTTTTTTTTTTTTTTTTTTTTTGGTTTCTTTTGTTTGTTTGTTTTGTTTTTTTAAGACAGGGTCTTGCTCTGTTGCCCAGGCTGGAGTGCAGTGACACCATCAGTCTCGGCTCACTGCAACTTCTGCCTTCCAGGCAGTCTCAAGCAATCCTCCCACTTCAGCCTCGGTGCAATGTATGTTAACATATCATCTGTCACATCTTCCAAAATTTGAGTCCCAGGTTCTCCAAAACTTCAATGGGTTAGTTAGACTAACCACTTTCAATGCCTAAGTGTTCTAATATGTCAAGTTCTCCTCTGACCTTATGCTTTGGTTTATGAAGAGTGAAATTATGAGGAGTGTCAGCATGTTTGCAAGCCAATGGGATGGAGTATGATTTAAGAAGCAAGAAAGAATTTTGTTTTTCTTAAATCTGAGACCATAAATTTCTGTTCACTCTGCTTATCTCCAAGGCTGGTCCTGGCTGGAGAGGGGAGAAAAAAGAGAAGGAGAGGAAAAAGCATTGATCAGTTTTAGAATTTTAAGAAAATATTTGCATATTTTAAGAAATTTAACCTAATTTTTTTAACTTTTTACTTTAAAATGATTATAGATTCACAGGAAGTTGCAAAGATGGAACAGACGTGTACTCTGTACCCCGTTCTCCCCACTAGTAAATTTTACATAATTTTAGAACAATAACAGAACCAGGGAATTGGTATTGGCAAAATCCACAGACCTCGTTCAAATTTCACCAGCTTTGCATGTACTCATGTGTGCATGAGTGTTTGAAGTTCTAGATTAGAATAACAACCACCACTACTAAATCATGGACAAGATATATAAAGGGAAGTTTGAAACAGAGCATTTAAGGGAGAGAGAATGAGAGCTATAAACTGCTTATGTTTAAGAGACCCAAGATACTGTGGAAATTGGCTAATCTAAACAAAATATCAATGCACTGATATGGGGAACTGCATGTGGTGAACAGTGCAGTGAGATATTCCTATTGAGGGATCCCATGAGATTACTAAAGGTAAGAAAGTAAGTTATATTTTCTTATAAATAAGACTCTAGGTAAGACCTTGTCTGCCTGAAGAATATCAGAAAACTAGACCATGACCTGAACGCTTGTAGCTGGGGTACAGCCAGGCAGGTGTAAGCCAGAGCTTGTGGAGGGAGGCTGCTAATAGATTGCAGAGCTCCTCTCCACCGTGGCCAGGTTGCAGGATTTCTGAGTAAGGGTGCTGTGAGCTTTTGGGGCAGGGCAATTCTTTGTTGGGTATGTCTTTACATAGTGCCCAGATCGTTAGCACTCTGATGACACCCTGGCTAGCTGGCACTATGGCCACTGTTCATCCAACACATTTCCAAAAGCATCTAAGGGATGTGAAAACATCCTCAATCAAAAACCACAAACCCCTTATTGTTCTTGAGGAAGAATATTCCCTCCCTAGATTCCTCAGTCCCTGTTTCCACTCACAGTTTCCACTCACTCTTTTTTTCCCCCGCCTAGGGACTGCCGATCTTGGAGGATCTGGATTTTTAAAGTTATTTTTGTATAATGCTTTTGTTATGGAAGATGGCAATTGCTTACGCACAACTGCCTTCATCTTAGCTGACCTGAATGGGCCTTAGCTGCCATGAATGGGCCTTAGCTGCCATGAATGGGCCTGACCCCAGACCATCAAAAGTGACCATTACTAAAAGGAGGGAAGGCAGGGTACCATTCTATTACATCTGGAATTAAAAATGAAGGTTACCAGTTATAGAAAAGACTTTCGGACTTTATTCAAAGCATTTTAATAATACTTAGAGAAGATTGATTTATTAAATGCTAGCAACTCTCATTTTAACATTAACTTCCGAACTTCAAGGAGGTTTTAAAAAATTGAATTTTAATTTTTAATTTTTGTGGGTACACAGTAGGTGTATATATTTATGGAGTACATGAGATACTTTGATACAGGCATACAATGTGTAATAATCACATCATGGTAAATGGGGTATCCACCCCCTCAAGCATTTATCCTTTATGTTACAAACAATCCAATTATACTCTTCTGGTTGTTTTAAAACATACAACTAAATTATTATTGACTATAGGCACCCCATTGCACTATCAAATACTAGGTCTTATTCATTCTTTCTATTTTTTGTATCCGTTAACCATCTCCACGTCCCCCCCAACCCTCCCACTACTCTTCTCAGCCTCTGGTAACTATCCTTCTACTCTCTATCAAGGAGGTTTAAATTTCAAGGAAAGGAGAATTCAATCAACGTGGGCTTATTGCTTCTCATGTCAACACTAAGCTATGTATTCCAGACTCTTCAAAAGAAGCATCAGATTTGCTACTTTATTTCAAGGATTCTAAAGTTCCATTGGAACAATACTATATTAACCCTGAAAATAATTAAAAAACAATTTCAGATATAGTTCAGAAGTAATTGTGAAAAGAGGTGAGATTAGGGAAAGATGACTCTGAGTCCAGATAACCCCAAAAAGCTTTTTAGAGAAGGATGAGGGTGGGGAGGCAGGTAGGGGGTTTATAATAGGATTTAAAAAGAGAAGGAAGAGCTATTTAAGGAAATTTGATTACTGCAAGTAACATTCTTCAAAACATTTAAAGAAAAACAAAAGTTTGGCAGGCAAGACTAGAAAAAGAAAACAACACTGGGGAGGGAAGTCACTGCTTCTTTTATTTCCATGACTGTTTTAAAGTCATATTTAGTTTCAGCCAAGGAAGAGCCTTTGACATCAGAGCACACAAAGTACTCTAGGAAATGAAGAGGATGAAAGTTCTACTGCATCAACGCCCAGAACTTTCTCCATTTGGCCACAGGTCGTTCTCATACATGGCCTAGTTTCTATGCACTCTAACTGGGTCCCTCTGAGGCTTGTGAATGGAAAACCCTCTTGCTTTCAAATGCTTGAAAACAAGAAAGATGCTACTATTGATGCCTCAAATACATGTAGGTATTTAGTGGGAAGCAATTAAATGTTTTGAAGGTCATTTCAAACGGAAATTAATCAAAAACAGTATTTTACTCTTTTGTGTATTAGAGTAGGCAAGACCTTGGTGTTTTCATTACATTCTCTGTTTTTATTTGCTGTTTACATTAGGATGTGAATAATGGCTTGGGTAAGGGGAGGATTTGGTACCAACCTAGGCTTTGGTTGCCAAACAGACACCAGAGTAAATTTGTGTGTGGTCAGAATCAGGTTGTAAGGTGCCAACACAGCACATGGCTTCAGTCTTTTTTTCTCTAATTGTAAAAGGACCTTGTCCCCATGGAGGGACCATTGCCTTGGCTTGTGGGGTCTTGAGTGATAGCCACAGTCTTTCTTCAGCACTTTCTCGACCTCATGAAAAGATACTGAAGCTTGAAAAGGGGATGTTCTTTCTGAATAGGAATGGAGAAGAGGGGCCAAGCAAGAATGATTCTATCTGTCTCCTGGCCGTTGATAGTGTCCCTGTACAGAGAGGAAATAACGTAGTATAATATGTAGCTTATGTTTGAATCAGCTTCTTTAAAAATACTGGAATTTTATTTATTTATTTTTGGTAGACACAGGGTTTCCTCATGTTGCCCAGGCTGGTCTCGGACACTTGAATTCAAGCAATCTGCCGGCCCCGCCGGGTGTGCCGCATGAGGGCGCGGGCCGCCCAAGGACCGCGAGTGGGGCCGCGAGTGCTGAGCCCGGCGCGCCCGAGCCGCTCCTCCTCCCGGCCTGCTCCCTGGGCGGAGCCGGGGCAGTGCGGCTCTGGGCTGGCCGAAGGGGTGGCGCTGCGATCCCGCAGGGCAGCGACGCGACTCTGGTGCGGGCCGTCTTCTTCCCCCCGAGCTGGGCGTGCGCGGCCGCAATGAACTGGGAGCTGCTGCTGTGGCTGCTGGTGCTGTGCGCGCTGCTCCTGCTCTTGGTGCAGCTGCTGCGCTTCCTGAGGGCTGACGGCGACCTGACGCTACTATGGGCCGAGTGGCAGGGACGACGCCCAGGTGAGGACCGGCCAAAGCCTCTCCCGAGTGGGAGGCCGGGCTCGGAGCTGCCGAGGCGTGTCCGGGTCTCCGGGGGTTCTGCAGTGATCCCGGGTCCTTTGTGGGTTGCGTGGAGCTTCCCGAAGGCCCGGCTGCCCCTTACGCAGGGGCTGCGGGTTGGGGAGGAAGAGGCGAGGGCTAAAAAGCCCCTTTGTCTTCTGTACTGGTCGGAAGATGGCATGGACTTGCCATTCAGGCTAGGAAACCTCTCCAGGGAGTGCCAAACTGTTAAGAGAGCACTGGAGTCGGCGGTGCTCCTGAGGACTCTGACATCTTACGCAGGACTCAAGGGATTCTGGTGTTGTCTCAGAGGACGATACTTTGAGAAACAGTGAGCGTCCCCCTGCGTTTGTAAGGGAAACTCCTTTGTAAGTACCGGAAGCCCGGTCGTTCTACTACCTGAAGTAGTCTGTCCTCCACTTCCCACTCCTGCAGTTTTGAAATAAAATCTGAGATAATCCGAAGTCCTTCACCTACTTACTCATTCTAGTCAAACACTAGAAAGAACTAAAAATGGCAGTTTGCTGGAGCGAGATCATTATTGGCATACTGCCTATCTCACTTTATCTGTGTCTTGCTTAATATTTGACATCGTGTACATTTGCTGTATGTTGGCTCAGCGCTTTACACACATAACATTTAACTTTTACAACAACTCTTACAAGGTAGGCATTATTAATCTTATTTTCCAGATAGGGAAACTGATGTTCAGAGAAATTAAATGACCTACCGAAAGCTAGGCTTTGGATCCTTAAGGACTTGGGGAAATGGGGTTTCCCTGGACCAAGTTTCTGGTATAAAAATACTCAAAGCATGTTACAAAGTTTGCTTGGAAGAGATAGTAGCTCGAAAGATAGACTATGTTTGGGGGGGGCGTTATGGGTTGGGCGTTGAGGGGGGTGATATTGATCCCAAGGTGAGAATTGGTTCCTGTGGACAAAAAAAAAAAAAAAAAAAAATCTGGTAATACAGTGGTTTGTGCCCCTCCAAAGCTTAACCCCACCCGAGAAAATATTATTCCTTAGTATTTCATTTTTCTGGTTGGGTTTTCTTGGGTATAGCATGTGCAGCACTGACATTGAGTTCACGAAAAATACACAACATGGACGCCACAGCAGTGCTACAAAACTATGGCAAGTGATTGGGCTTTCTCCTTTTAAAGCAGGAATCCCAAATACTGCACAACTTCATTAACCAAGGGCTTTCTCTTGATCGATTGTTCCACCTCAGCGGGGGAATATGTGTGCCTATTGGCTGCCATTGGCTGCCTTGCAGACGTTGTTTGTGTTTGATCTTTAGTGCTTTTGTGTTCACTTGGACTTGGAGAATTAAACGAAAATAGATTATATTTTATTATTTAATCCTACAAAAAATATTCAACCCATCAAATTATGTCAAGTGCTAAAAAGCAAAATTATTGACAACATCTGAATGAATATCTCTAAGCTACTAAGTTAAAAGTTATTTTCTCATATTAAGGAAAAGTTAAAAGTTAAGATCATTGAAAATTTTAAGAAATTCATTTAATATTTTCAGTTGTGTTTTGTCGGAAAAGAACAGTTTGAAGGATTTTAAATTTAATTACATTGTTATCATTATGTAGTTATATAATTTGCAAATTTGCACATGTAGTTTGATAAATTGCTATTTATCTAAGTAAGTTACATAAAAGTTATTCAGCAAAAATCTGGCGTGGTGGCATGTACCTGCAATCCCAACTACTCTGGAGGCTAAGGTAGGAGGGTCATTTGAGCCCAGGAGTTCAAGACCAGCCTGGGCAGCATAGTGAGACACTGTCTCAAAAACCATAAAAATGTTTTTCAGCAAATACAGTTATAAAGTTAGAAGTTAATAACTTTTAAATTTTAATTTAACATTTAACTTAATTTTAAAATTTAGTCATATGCTTATTTAGTCATATGCTTATTAACTAAGGAGTAAGCTTTTTTTCTTTTTCTTTTTTTTTTTGAGACAGAGTCTCGCTCTGTTGGCCAGGCTGGAGTGCAGTGGTATGATCTTGGCTCACTGCAACCTCTATCTCCTGGGTTCAAGTGATTCTCCTGCTTCAGCCTCCCTAGTAGCTGGGATTACAGGTGCGTGCCACCACGCATGGGTAAGTTTTGTATTTTTAGTAGACCTGGGGTTTCGCCATGTTGGCCAGGCTAGTCTCAAACCCCTGACCTCAGGTGATCCACCCCGCTCTGCCTCCCAAAGTGTTGGGATTACAGGCATTAGCCACTGCGCCTGGCAGGAGTAAACTTTATAGAACTCCTTTTATGTATAAAGCACAGATATATGTACAGTACATAAATGATATACAGTATATCTGTGGAATTAACATTTCACAGGAGAGTTTTAGGGGAAAAAAAAGTCTAAAAAGACTCCTGGTGGAGGTAGGGAGTGAGAAAGAAGAAAAGATTAAAGGAAAATTGAAATAGACTCAGATTCCCAAAACAGCTCAGACTGGAGAGATGGGCAGACTCTATCAAGATGAAAAAAGAAAAAAAAATCCTTCTTGACTTCTCTGTAGGTTTATTATTTTTTGTCACTTAAAAAAATAGCACACTCACATAATACAAAAGTAAAAATACAAAAAGATATATAGTAAAAAGTAAAGAGCTTTCTCTGACCCTTGTGCCCTAGCTACCTAGTGTGCTTCTCTCGAGGCAGCCACCATTTCCTGCCTCCTCTGTATCCGTCTAGAGAAATTCTGTGCATTTCCAAGCATATATCTCACATGGTGATTTTTTTTTTTTTTTAATAGAGAGACAAGGTCTTGCTTTGTCACCCAGCCTGGAGTGCAGTGGCATGATCATAGCTCACTGCAGCCTCGAACTCCTGGGCTCAGGCAATCCTCCCACCTCAGCCTCCCCAGTAGCTAGGACTACAGGTGCAAACCACCACACCTGGATATTTTTAAACTTTTTGTAGAAACAGGCTCTCACTATGTTCCAGGCTGGTCTTGAACTCCTGGCCTCAAGTGATCCTTCCACCTTGGCCTCTCAAAGTGCTAGGATAACAGATGTGAACTGCCAAGCCCAGCCACATATGGTGAAATTTAAGGGTGACTAATTTTAGACATTAAAATGGTCCAGAAAAATCCATGGCACAAGTCTAGAGGAGGAAAAATTTCAACAGCAGCACATGTGAGCAAAACTCAGGTTTTTGTTAACAGTAACCTCAATAGGAGTCAACTGTGAAGTGGCTGCCAGAAAAGATCAGGCAACCTTGGGTTGCATTTGTAGACCTCAGTGTCTGAAGCAACAACTGCAAACAACAGATGTCTCCTGACTAGCTGCTTGTATGTGCCGGCCTCTGTGCTGGGGCACTGGGGACACTGCAGTGACTGAATCAGCCACAGTCCAGGCCCTCATAGACCCTACCTTCTGGGGGACAAGGGAAGTGATTTTTGACATCTCATCCTGCTCTGCACTGTCCAGACCCTACCGAATCCTGTGTCCTGCCCTAGCCAGCTCCCTTTAATAAAGAGGAACATTAACCAACTAGAATTGGTGCAGGTGGGTGTGAGCAGAAGAGTGAGGAAACCTGATACCATGTCATGTGAGGGAAGGTGGCAGAAATTGGATAGGTTTATTTAGCCTTAGAGAAGGTAAGAGATGAAAGGACTTAGGGAAGACATAATGGCTGTCTTCCCTAACAGCTGTGAGGGATTGTCATTTAGAAGACAGGTTTCATTTCTTTTCTTTTCTTCCTGAAACAGCTTTTTGTAAAACAAGAAAGCAGAATTGCAACACAATTTAAATGTCTGTCTAGGTCACAAAAGGGATGCAAAATGTTTGTAATATGATTAGTATGTATTCATATAGTGAGTCATTCTTACACCTATACATAAGATTATTCCATGATTAAAGGTAGCCCAGCTCTAATAACCATAAGCTATATTAGTGGATCCCTTTTCCTATTATAACATTTTAGTATTACTTCTGATATTGATTCCCTTAACAAATGGAGTCTACAAACTGAATTTTAAAAAATTGTTAAAAGTGACTAAAACTCTGTAAACAGAGGAGTTGAGTTTACAAAAAATTCTGGGAGAACAAGCAGGATAAAACTGAGCAAGATTATCAATAAGTGTACATCTGAAACTCCCATTTTTCACAGTTCTGATACTAATACATTCTTAAGGAATTTTGCAAAAGTTAATCTGCTGAGTAGAAATATACCTTGAGACCAAACTCTTTGTAACTGTTCTCTTCCAGATGTGGTACATAAGATTAGTCAAAGTTGGCCAGATGCGGTAGCTCACGCCTGTAATCCCAGCACTTTGGGAGGCTGAGGTGGGCAAATCGCTAGAGCTCACAAGTTCGAGACCAGCCTAGGCAACATGGCAAAACCTCATATCTACAAAAAAATACACACAAAAAAATTAGCCGGGCATGATGGTACACGCCTGTAGTCCCAGCTACTTGGGAGGCTGAGGTGGGAGGTTGGCTTGAGCCTGAGCCGTGGAGGTTGCAGGGAGCCAAGATCATGCCACTGCACTCCAGCTTGGGTGACAGAGCCAGGCCTTGTCCCCTCCCCCCGTCCCCCCGCCAAAAAACAGGTTAGTCGAGCTTAATCTACTCTCATATATTTCCCAAAAGATCTACTCTGTGCCAGAGATAACAAAAATCTGGAGTGAAAATATTTGGAGTTGGTTACTAGTATTTTCCCAAGTACTTTTCCATCCTATTTCTATTTTCCCTTAAGCTTTTCTATTTTAAACACACACGACCATAATTTATATCTTTTCAGATACAAAGTAGGTAATTTTGTAAAAAAAAAAAAAAAAAAGAAGTTTTTTTTTTGTTTTTTGTTTTTTGAGATAGAGTCTCACTTTGTTGCCCAGGCTGGAGTGCAGGCTCACTGCAAACCCCACCTCCTAGAGGTTCAAGCAATTCTCCCTGCCTCAGCCTCCCAAGTAGCTGGGATTACAGGCACCCACCACCACGCCCAGCTAATTTTTGTATTTTTAGTAGAGATGGGGTTTCGCCATGTTGGCCAGGCTGGGCTTGAACTCCTGATCTCAGGTGATCCTCCTGCCTCGGCCTCCCAAAGTGCTGGGATTACAGGCGTGAGCCACTGTACCTGGCCAAAAAGAAGTTTTTGACAACAAAAAATTATCTTCCCAGATTGACAATTCAGTTTCAATGAAAAATCTTCATTTTTATAGTCTCTTTTTGTTTTCAATTGATTAAAGAGAAACCAGCAATTCTATCTTAGTATTAAATATCACAAATGAGAAGCTCTAGCTGAGAAAATGTCTTCATTTGGTTAAGTTTTGACAATTAAAGTTCAGGTTACTCTCAGAGATGATTAAGTATTAAAATTGCTTTTACAAATATGAAACCAGTTTTTCCCTGGGGGAGGGGAGATAGGAAGGAAGAAGCCAGTGGAGAAGGGGCCCAAGAAGATGGATAGGGTACATGAATCTGTGCAGTCAGTACCTGATTGGGGTCACTTTTTCACAGCATGATGGTTATTTTCTTGTATATCTTACTAAGCCTATAATAAAAGACAGGGCTAAACCCACAAATCAGAGCAAATTTGATAAAACATTCATCTTAAGTTTCATAAATATGTGCTATTCTAAATTAAGTTTCCAATACATTTGCACATTCTCATAGACTAACATAATACACAAACTTATGGAAGTTTCCTGTTATGCTATGAATGTTGCCTACATCTGACATTAGCTTCATAAATATTCAATGAAACCACAAACAAAGGTACTATCACTTTTGAAATCTGTCCAACATATAAAGAAAGGTCAGCAGCAATTCCATAAAACAGAAGGGCTTCAATTCTGTATTTTCTTTTGCTTTTTGTGTCAGTTGTTTGAAAAACACTAGAAGCTGACATGAAATTTTCTGTGTATTGTCTAAGAAACTTGGTTTTCTGATTTTAGCTTGAGATTTTCTTCCGTAACCGCATCTCCTCTGACAGGGAGATCTTGAAGTGTATGTTGGGGTTCCAACACTTGATTAATAAGCTGTGTTTTTCCCTCCAATTCCAAATGATTTTCAGCATCAACTGCATCCATGTCAATATTTGTCGTCTTGGGTAACAAACTTTTGGGCCTTGGATACAAAATCCTTGATGAATGTTTGAGGTGCTGGGAGAGGAAGGGATGGGGAGGATGCCTCAGGCTGGACACTTGGACCCACCGACACCAGAAGTTTGATTTCTTCTTTGTCAAACCACAAGGCAGGATTACTGCCCACTGCTACTGGTTGATAGCATTTAAAAGCTTATCATATCAGTATAAAAAAGATCCCTGGAATGATTAGACTTTCCCAAAAAAGGAGCTGAAGCCTTCAGAGATAATTAGCTTCCTCATCCTGTGAGGGAATTAGAGATGGGTCAAGGGCTTGAGAAGAGAATTCTCAAACTGGAGTGGGGGTTGAACTATCACTTTCCTTTCAACTCTTAAGAATCTACTTTCAGGGGCTCTTAAAGGGAGGCCATTATGTATACCAGATTCTGTGGAATCGGGAAACAAACGGTGCTAAATAAAAAAGTTTCTTCAGGGTGGGAGGAAGAGGCCAGAATTGTGATTGTATTAAAAGTTTACACCATCAGCTTTAAATATTTGCTTATGTGTGTAAATATCAAGAGGTCTTTGTTAGCTCGACACTAGTTAGTAAATCCTGTGTTTCTAAAACAAATGATATTCACTCTAGAGTGTGATGATTGCAGAACTTGGGAACAACAAGTAGTCAATGAATGAATAAATGATTATCTGAATAGATGTTATGTTGTTCTTGATAAAGTCCTATAGGAAGGTGGCCCAATTGTGCCTTTTCACAAAAGTACGTTATATGACAGGAAAGCATTGTAGCCCAGACATAGTATTTGGGATGTTTCCATCCTTAGTTGAGATTTTTTTTTTTTTTTTTTTTTTTCCGACAGAGTCTCACTCTGTCACCCATGCTGGAGTGCAGTGGAGCAATCTTGGCTCACTGCAACCTCTGCCTCCCAGGTTCAAGCAATTCTTGCACCTCAGCCTCCTGAGTAGTTGGGGTTACAACGATGCGCCACCACACCTGGCTAATTTTTGTATTTTTCATAGAGAACAGGTTCCATCATGTTGGCCAGGCTGGTCTCGAACTCCTGGCCTCAAGTGATCTGCCCGCCTTGGCCTCCCAAAGTGCTGGGATTACAGATGTGAGCCACCGTACCTGGCCTTAGTTGAGATATTTACATGGAACCTTTTTCTTAAGGACAAGTGGTATTTTCTTGAATGTCTAAGAAACAGTTGGGTTTTAAAATATTGATCATATGTAAATGTGTATATCATGAAATAGTGGACAGTGTGGGCTTTGGAGCTAGATATACCTGGGCTTATATCCCGGCTCTGCCAGGGTTCTTGGGTGTTTATTCAGTAGTTATTTATGGAGCCTTTTCAATATTCCAGTCTTTGCTAAGCACTGAGGCCACAGCAATGAACAAGGTAGACAGGGTCCTACCCTTAATGGAATCTATGGTCTAGTGGGACAAATTAATCTCTGTAAACCTCAGTTACCTTTTCTGTAAAACTGAGATAATAATACCTTTCCATACAGTTCTGGTGAGGCTTTTAGTAGACAATGTGCTAAGTACATAGGAAGTAATGTAAAAACGTTAAGCCATTAGAATTGGTAACTCTGTTTTCCTGGCTGGAGAAGTTAGGAGACATACGTTATTAAGTGACTGTTCTATGTTTTGCTGTAGTAAAGTCCATCTGTTAAAAAACTTGAGCAATAATTATAATTGACGTTTATTAAACACTGAGTATGTACTAGATACTGCCCTGAGTGCTTTCCATGTTTTAACTCATTTCTCAACAATCCTGTGAAGGATGTGTTCTTATTCATCACATTTCCAGTTGTGGAAAATTAAGGCACCAAGTTCTCACCTGGGAGCATTTCAGTGCTGTGTGTGATGGAGCTGGCATTTGAACCCTGGCAGTCTCCAGGGATGGTACTGTTAACATCACAGTTAGGATTTAGAGCTGTTTAAAACAGTACAATCATTTCCTGATTTTAACTTTTCTGATCTAAAATCGGAAATGTGATGTTAAGTGATACGATATTTGATATTTTTGATAAATAACATATATTTTAGTAAATAAGTCACCCAGGAACTTTGCATAACAGTGACTTTACGGGTTCAGAGAGACAGTGAATATCATCTCCTGAAGTGCTAATAAGTTTTTCATTGGAGAAAAGAATAAACCATTTGTCATTGCTTTAGTACTGTAACATTTGTAGTCTTTTAAGAGGAACATAATTGGAGAAGCAGAGTACAATATTTCATCTCTCTGTAATATGCATTTGTTCTTGGGTGAATTACTATATTCTCCTAAGATGAAAGCTCAGGCATCTGGGGAACATTTTTACAAAATGACCTTGAGCTGATAGGCATCAGGCATTATTGGCAAATGGGGAAAATACTACTTTAAAAATCTAGGATGTTTCCATCAACAGCACAGAACTTGGTATATTTAGATTCTTCATCAACCTCCATTGCAAAATATTAGAATAATAGAATTAAAAACTGGATGTGACCTTCAGCCATCATCTAATCTGAATGCCTCATTTAATGGCTAAGGAAAAGTGAGTCCAGACAGTGATTTTTGTATTTACTTAGCCTGTTTATCTTATCTATCATATTTATCTTACCTGTTTGTGTTAAATAGAGCCTTAGAGTGAAACCATGAGGTTATAAGGCTTACCTTGAAGTAAAGTCTGGAAAAGTCATGAAGGTTCTGTAATATACAAATACTGTGTTGATAACTGTTACTAGTATGATTTGTATTAATGCTTTTTTTTTTTTTTAGTTAAGAAGGAGATGCTTTCTTAGAATATTTCAAATTTTAACTCTATACATCATGCCTTCATATTTAGTGGTATTGTTTAAGGCTTTCTTTTTTTTTTCTAATCTTGGATTTATGAGCGTAATTCATTGCTTATTTTCTTCCTTCCATTTACATTCCTTCCATAGAATGGGAGCTGACTGATATGGTGGTGTGGGTGACTGGAGCCTCGAGTGGAATTGGTGAGGAGCTGGCTTACCAGTTGTCTAAACTAGGAGTTTCTCTTGTGCTGTCAGCCAGAAGAGTGCATGAGCTGGAAAGGGTGAAAAGAAGATGCCTAGGTAAGCGGATCTGAAATAGCAGCGGTGCTTCCTAGAAATAAATCAGTCCAAACTCAAATACAGTTTTGGGACTTTTAGAGAGGAGTGAGATTTCCCCCCGGCTCCAAATGTTCTACATGCTTCATCTCAGTTCCTCTCCTTTTTGCCTTAATTGGCTGCCCTCGCCTTTTTCTTCTTTTCTGCCACCTTTCTATGCT
Source organism: Homo sapiens (assembly GCF_000001405.40). Lineage (NCBI taxonomy): Eukaryota > Metazoa > Chordata > Mammalia > Primates > Hominidae > Homo > Homo sapiens. Next base: position 60,155,802 of record NC_000014.9, on the reverse strand, counting down.
TTTTTTGCACTGACTCTTGGCATTAGGGAGTGACCAACAATTATATAAAATGCTGGTGGATTTTTAGTGACCAAGTATCTTAGATTTTTGTCTTAGAGAAAAAACAGTTGGGTTCTTATCCATGACATACATGTATCTGATCATAGAAATTAGGAAGAATCCTTACTCATTTTATTAAAGTATCAGATATTAAAATCATATGGGATAAGACTTATTATATAGGATAAAAGAACAGGAATGGAATTAGCTTTAAAAAATACAACTTGAGGTAATACTTTCATATTCACATAAAGGGCAACAGTGTTAATATTTTTGTTTGAATTTTGGTGTAGTTATGTTTACTTTTTTCTTTTTGAGATGAAGTCTCACTTTGTTGCCCAGGCTGGAGTACAATGGTGTGATCTTGGCTCATTGCAACTTCCGCCTCACAGGTTCAAGCGATTCTTGTACCTCAGCCTCCTGAGTAGCTGGGGCCACAGACGTGCACCACCACACCCAGCTAATTTTTGTATTTTTAATGGAGACGGGGTTTCACCATGTTGGCCATGCTGGTCTCGACCTCCTGACCTCAGGTGATCTGCCTGCCTCGGCCTCCCAAAATGCTGGGATTACAGGTGTGAGCCACCGCACCCAGCCATTATGTTCACATTGAAAGCAACTTCAAGTATAAAGTTATTATTTTTCATGGAACATTTATTAATAGTACCTAAACTGAGATAATTTTGAATTTTCCAACAGACCATTTTTTGGGCCATCTCTCTACCTGTCATTCTTTTAAATCTTTAACTTTGCTGATCGAGCTAACCACCCAGAAATGAGAGTTAGTTGCCACAGTAGTGCTCAGCAGGGCAACAGGCCTCTTTCATGATACTGCTTTCAAAGGCCTCTTGTGTTTTTGCACTGGGCCACTTCTTTTGATAGTTGTTCCTCTACTGCTGTGACTTGCAAGTCCTGTACTGGTGGAGTAGATGAACCAGGTCAGCATTTCTTACCTGGCACAAGGCTGTTTCCTTTTATCTTGCAGATCTGTAGTGCCCACTTTTTCATTTAATACAGTTGATGTTTCACGCTTAACTCTTTTGCCCATGAAGTCTTTTTACCTCTTCTATTTTCTATACTTGCTTGTTTTTCTTACTGATGTTACTTGTATTTCAAGGTTAGAGTCCAGGAAAATTAGTTTCAGTTGTTCTTTTGATGAACAGAAAGCCAATCACAAAGCAGCAGCATGTTTCTTGGTTGGGAATTTCAGGCATGTGTCCTTTTCCCTGTTTACCTCCAGGAATCCTTAGCCTCTGGAGAGAAGCTTCTATATGTCATTTGACTGTAGGACTCTGAGCTTCTTACTGATTTTAAGCACAAGTAGTTGTTTTGTGTGTAGAAGAGCAACTCATCTTTGTGAGCCTATCACAAAACAAAGGTACCTCTGTACTTCTAAAGAAATTGCTCTAAAATATTTGCTCTTTTCTAGTTTGTAGTATAATCTTGATTTCTATCAGAAATCAAATTGTAAAGTTAGACTGCATATTCAAGTTGCCATTCTACTTCCTGTGAGGCCAGCCAGCTTTTTGTCTGATATAACCACTAGTCCTCTTCCTGACCACCGAGAGGAACTTTCACAGGGCCACCCAGAAATGAGTTTGTTGCCAAGTCCTGTTGCAGGGTGGGTGTTAGTGGGAGTAGCAAGGAGCTTGACTGAACTATGGCATGACTTCCACACAAATTTTTGTCTTTATTTAGAGAATGGCAATTTAAAAGAAAAAGATATACTTGTTTTGCCCCTTGACCTGACCGACACTGGTTCCCATGAAGCGGCTACCAAAGCTGTTCTCCAGGAGTTTGGTAGAGTAAGTAGCATCTTATATTGATATAGTCTTGCTTTGAAGTAACTGCAGAAGAGATTCCCATCCGTGGTGCTGTCATACAAAGGGCTTTAGGCAAGTGGGGTCCATGCAGTGAGATCGGGCCCATGAGTTGGGCCCCTTAATCTCTGAGCCTTTGTCATTATGGAATTAGTACTTTTCATGTCTTAACAAGTACAAATTCCTCCATGTAGAACAAAAGAAGCTAAAAATTCACGGCTGCTTTTATTTATTTATTTATGTATTTTGAGACAAAGTCTTGCTCTGTCGCCCAGGCTGGAGTGCAGTGGTGTGATATCGGTTCACTGCAATCTCCGCCTCCCAGGTTTAAGGGATTCTCCTGCCTCAGCCTCCTGAGTAGCTGGGATTACAGGCATGCACCATCACGCCCAGCTAATTTTTATATTTTTTAGTAGAGATGGGGTTTCACCATGTTGGTCAGGCTGGTCTTGAACTCCTGACCTCATGGTCCACCCTCCTCAGCCTCCCAAAGTGCAGGGATTACAGGCTACTGTGCCCAGCTGGCTGCTTTTATTTATTTTAATGACAATTATTAACTTTCACAAAAAGTCACCTAAAACGGGAATTTAATTCCACAGGTAAATTCAGGGCTTTATTTTATCTTTTTAATTGCTGACTTCTGGAAATATACCATTGTTCCATTGATTCTTTAAGTTAACAAAATAACCAACCATCCATAGGAATTCCATCAATCTATCCACAAGACATCCCCCAAACACCCCTTTTCTGATTTTATTTAACTAGATCGACATTCTGGTCAACAATGGTGGAATGTCCCAGCGTTCTCTGTGCATGGATACCAGCTTGGATGTCTACAGAAAGCTAATAGAGCTTAACTACTTAGGGACGGTGTCCTTGACAAAATGTGTTCTGCCTCACATGATCGAGAGGAAGCAAGGAAAGATTGTTACTGTGAATAGCATCCTGGGTATCATATCTGTACCTCTTTCCATTGGATACTGTGCTAGCAAGCATGCTCTCCGGGTAAGGCTGCTCAAACTCAACTCTGATAGAACTGACTTAAATGTGTATATGGGGGATATGGCCATCACTGTGTGAGGTCCTTGGAACTGGAAGTGATGTGGGGAGACAGAGAGACCCAAGGAGACTTTTGGTAGAGGACACCCCCAGTAGATGCTAAAAAAGACTTGATCCACACATGCCTCTAACTTGTTGAACAAATAAATATGTATCAAGCACTGCATTGTGCCATGTACTACAACAGACCCTGGGGATATAAAGATAATAAGATGTGGTCTCTGCCCTCAAAAAGTGTATCATCTATTTAACATGTTACTCTTCACCTTATCCTTATTCCTACTAAATCTTCATGGAAAATTGGGGGTCCACTTCTCCTTTCTTCTACATACACTTCAGGATGTACTTTTTCCTCCCCATTTCTGTGACTTCTTTTCCTTGCCCCTTGTAGTTGGTGTTTATTTTGCCTGGTCTAATTATATATGCATGTCAGAAATAGGTACTTCCCACAGGATGATTAGTCCTGGTCTCATATCCTTACTGGGAAAAATCTTGACTGTATTCTCTCTGGTTTCATTGGAAGAAGAAAATCTAGTCAAGGCAGAGGCAAGGAGAGAAGCTTGATTTGGACTGCATAACTTACGATGTATAAATATTAGAAATGGATGAATTTTTAATGGTGGCTTAAGACTGGATATAAAGAAATTATAAGGCCAATAGGAAAAGAATGATTAAGGAAGACACAAAATTTATATTTAAAGCTGTTGAAGTCAGTTTAAGTAGAATGTTTCACTGTTGGAATCATGAGATGCAATAGCTACATGGTCATCATGGTTTCATGAAAATTTGAAGCTTTGGTTCTTTAGGACATCTTTTTTCTGCTGCAAAGTGCAGACAATTGCAGACAGTGATGAAGCGGAATGCTATACTGATGATTTCCTCATATTTAGTAACAGGCATCAGTCACTTCCTGTGGAGCAGTTGGGCAAGCCTCAGGCAGGCAGATGAGGGAGGGCGGCCACCCATCTGTTTGGCACCACGTGTCTCATAAGATATGCTGGATGCTTTCAGTAAACACAGATGAGCTGTCTGGCCTGCCCTCCAAGACTCATTATTTTATTACTGGATTTGATCCTATGATAAAATGTGGCAGGTTGAGACTGTAGTTACCAGGAAGCTCTTTTTGAAGAGCACATTTCCTTCTCAGATTCTCAGTAAACTACAGAATTAACTTGTTTATCATTGAAAAGTTTACACACAATACTAGATGTGATTTCAAACAAGGAGAGGTTTTAGTGTTTGATATATTGGCTTGCTTGGTGTCCTCTCTCCTCTTTTGCTACAGAGAGGCAGAAGGTTAAAGTTATGGGAGTTTTCCATTCAATTAGCAAGCTTTTTTTTTTTTTTTGGGTTCATCTCTGAGTCTGGCACTGTATTGGTCTCTGATCATAAACCCTCATAGCCCCTCTGTTTGTTGGGGTCAGCATTTCAGAGCTGATAACTGTTTAACATTTTTGGATCATATACAATGTACTGTGGGTTAGCTGTTTAGGCTTTTCAATAGATAACCCAGCCTTATAACAATGTAGTCTTGGAACATTTCCTAATTTAGGAAGAGATGAGAGGCAGTAGATTTCTGTTTACTCCCCATTGGTTTAGAAATGGTCAGTATCTTTTTAAGTCTAGAAGGTCTAGTCTGTTTTACACAAGTCATTCAGTAGGCAATCATATTACATTTTTAATTAGCCACATACCCTCTTATTACCCAAAAAGATAAATGTTTGCTAAAATGAATTAATACTGTTAAAATAGAAATATAAATGGAAAAAGTTGAATTCATTCTTTCTGATACTTTCTGTGAAGTACTAATCCCATCTTCCTCACCTTTGCCCCAAAAATTTGCACTTTAGACTACTTTGGGGAATAAATAGAAACCTGACCTCAGTGATTCTCAGTGGAGGACATATACCCCTTTTGGAGTGGGGAGAGGAGGACTGGTATGAAGAGCATATATCAGAATCTATAGGGATAGTTCTTTTTACCTATCCAGTGCATGCCTACCATAAAAATCATTGATGGGAAGACCCCTCACTATCAAAGGGGGTGAACCATTTATACCTGGAAAGAGCTGAGAATGTCTGTTCTAGATTGCCTCCAGTCTACTGTTAAAAGTGCCTTATACACTATTCACAATAGCAAAGACTTGGAACCAACTCAAATGTCCATCAATGATGGACTGGATTAAGAAAATGTGGCACATATACACCATGGAATACTATGCATCCATAAAAAAGGATGAGTTCATGTCCTTTGTAGGGGCATGGATGAACCTAGAAACCATCATTCTCAGCAAACTATTGCAAGGACAAAAAACCAAACACTGCATGTTCTCACTCATAGGTGGGAATTGAACAATGAGAACACTTGGACACAGGAAGGGGAACATCACACAGTGGGGCCTGTCATGGGGTGGGGGGAGTGGGGACGGATAGCATTAGGAGATATGCCTAATGTAAATGACCAGTTAATGGGTGCAGCACACCAACGTGGCACATGTATACATATGTAACAAACCTGCATGTTGTGCACATGTACCCTAGAACTTAAAATATAATAATAAAAAAAAGTGCCTAATAAGCTTGCATGATTACACTACCTGTCCTTTACTCACACATTTTAGAACATATTTTGATAAATCATGAGATATGTGTCTGTATTTATTTGCCTTTTTCCTTTTTTTTTTTTTTTGTCTGTTAGGGTTTTTTTAATGGCCTTCGAACAGAACTTGCCACATACCCAGGTATAATAGTTTCTAACATTTGCCCAGGACCTGTGCAATCAAATATTGTGGAGAATTCCCTAGCTGGAGAAGTCACAAAGGTAAAAATTTCTAGTTGGGAATAATTTGAATGTTTACTAGTTATATATTGGCATTATATATTGGTGTTGTATCACTGTATATCATAGTTTTTGCCTTAGAAGTGCTTTTATGTGAATTATTCACAAAACTCCTGCCATTATGAAAATTGTTTATGGAATTTCATTTGCTAAATGCATTGTCTTAATAGTTTGATTTTTATTACAAAAGTGATAATTGTCATTAAGCACATTAGGGTGATGCAATTCTAATTAAAAGCAAAGAATCTTCATCTTTTAGTTAGCCTGCACTATATTATCTAGTAAGCATATGGTTTCTGTTAGGCTTTTTGAAATATTACAAATAGTTTATAAACTCCCATTAGTACCTATGGAGACTCCTAAGGGGCATGAAGCTCCACTAAAGGAACCACTCAACTAGACGGCATTTGAGTCCTTTCTAGCTTAAAGTTATGTGAAATCGCTTGGATAAATTCACTTAATTTTTAACTTTTCTTAGACTATAGGCAATAATGGAGACCAGTCCCACAAGATGACAACCAGTCGTTGTGTGCGGCTGATGTTAATCAGCATGGCCAATGATTTGAAAGAAGTTTGGATCTCAGAACAACCTTTCTTGTTAGTAACATATTTGTGGCAATACATGCCAACCTGGGCCTGGTGGATAACCAACAAGATGGGGAAGAAAAGGATTGAGAACTTTAAGAGTGGTGTGGTAAGACCAATTTCTAAGTTTCTTAATAGTATGTACCAATCTTGCAGGAAGGTACAGAATTTTCCAGTGTTTAAAAAACTTTCTGGCTGGGTGCAGTGGCTCATGTCTGTAATCCCAGCACTTTGGGAGGCCAAGGCAGATCACTTGAGGCCAGGAGTTCAAGACCAACCTGGCCAACATAGTGAAACCCCATCTCTACTAAAAATACAAAAAGTAGCTGGGCATGGTGGTGCATGCCTGTAATCCCAGCTACTCGGGAGGCTGAGGCATGAGAATTGCTTGAACCGAGGAGGCGGAGGTTGCAGTGAGCCAGGATGGTGCCACTGCACTCCAGCCCGGGTGATAGAGCGAGACTCTATTTCAAAATCAAAAAACCTTTCTAACCCTCCACCAATCTCATGATATAAAGAAAAATAAATAAAAAATATTTTATCCCCATGCATATATTTTGGTTTACTATAAATTATTACTAGTCTTGGAGAGAGAAGTTTCTTACAAGGTAAAATCAAATCAAAGATTGCCATGTTTTTCTTCTATACATATTGTTTGACCAGTGTGTGTGTCAAAATGCTCTTTCCCTACTGTTTCTCCCCACCAACTCCTACCCATCCTACCAGTCTCAACTCCCATGTCACCTCCTTGGAATGGTACCTGGCCTTCCCTCCCACTTCTCCCCAGGACCAAGTGCACCTCAGCCCCTATGCTTTCCTGTCAAAGCACTTACTGTGTTGTTAAAACAGATGCATGCAGTTTTACCTCATTCCCGAAGTACTCAGCACATCTAAGATGTGCCTATTCCCCTGTCTAAGGAAATATGCTGATTATCATTCTTTCAGCACTCATTCTTTATAGCAATTAGTCAGGGAATACTATTAACCATTTCTGAGAAATTGTGACCCTCAAAAGAATTTAATTTATAGACAGTACAGGAAATGTAATGAAGTAAACCAAAAATTATAGATGATTATGCAGCAAAAGATTATTGCTGAGGATGGTTTTTACTGTTAGCCTTTGATATACTTTGTTACCACCTTCTTTTAGAAATTAATCAATGGGGATTGACAGATAAAAAAAGAATTATAAAACAAGATCATACTATATATACCTGCAAAAATTTAAGCAATCCACTAATTGTTAGACATTTAATTTATTCCAACTCTTTGCAGGACAGTGAAAATGAATTAGGGGGTAAAAAGTTACAAACACAACAAAATGCTTAAGAGACATAAAAGGTTATCAGACTGGGTCATGACACACTAAAATGTCCAGAGTGTGAAAAATCAAAAAGGAGCTTTTCGTTTTCTACCAAGTAGTAATGTGGAACAGTTTGCTTTGGGCCAGATCCCTTATGAGTGTTTTGGTATTGTTGGGACTTGGTAGTGTGGGTAGAAGCTCTAAAGGTAGAGTTTCATCAAAGAGTATACCTGAGTTTTAAATATGGAGGACAGCTGATGCAGTAGCTTTGTGCCCAGTGATGGAAAGAGTTGAGAGGGACAGGCCACCTTACTACAGAGGAAGCACAGCCTCCTGGCAGAGCATGCAGCCTGGTGCTAGGCTACCTGGGTTCAAATCCCAGCTCTGCCCCATGCCCTTAAAGCAAGTTACTTCTCTATCACTCAGTCTCCCCATCTATTAATATAAGATGGAGATTAATGATGATAATAGTGCCCAGTCACAGGATTGTTATGGGAATTACATGAATTTAATATATGAAAAGCACTTAAAACACAACTTGGAGTGTTCTAAGTGTTAGCTATTGTGCTTTTTCCCCCTTCTCAGCTTGAGTTAGATATAGCAGGATATTCAGCTTCCTTAATGATCAAAGATTTTCTTTATAATTGACACATAAAAATTATATATATTTAAGGTATACATTGTGATGATCTAATATACACTGTAAAATGATTACCACAATCAAGCTAATTAATACATGTCACCCAGTTACCTTTTTTTGTGTGTGGTGAGAACACTTAAAATCTTCTTAGCAAATTTCAAATATGCTATACAGTATTATTAACTGTAGTCACCATGCGGTATATTAGATCCTTAGAATCTGTAAATTATAATAACATAAGTTATTTATCTTATAACTGAAAATATCTACCATTTTTTTTCTTTGAGACAGGGTCTCGCCCTGTCACCCAGGCTGGAGTCTGCAGTGGCGTGATCATGGCTCACTCCCATCTCTACCTCCCAGGCTCAAGCAATCCTCCCACCCCAGCCTCCTGAGTAGCTGAGACTATAGGCGCACACCACCATGCCTGGCTAGGTTTTGTAGTTTTTGTAGAGACGGGTTTTTGCCACGTTGCCCAGGCTAGTCTCAAACTCCTGGGCTCAGGCGATCCACCTACCTTGGCCTCCCAAAGTGTTGGGATCATAGGTGTGAGCCACTGTGCCTGGCCAAAATGTGTACCTTTTGACCAAGATCTCCCCATTTCCTCCATCTTCTGGCTCCTGGCAACCATCATTCTACTCTGCTTTTGAGTATGACTTTTTAGATTCCACAGAAGTGAAATCACATAGTACTTGTTTTTCTGTATCTTGCTTATATCACTTAGCATTAACGTCCATTCATTATCCATGTTTTCACAAATGCCAGGAGTTCCATTGTTTTATGGCTGAAAAATATTCCATTGTGGAATAATATTCCATATATATATATACACACACAGACACACACACACATTTTCTTTATCCATTCATTCACTAATGGACACTTAGGTTGTTTCCATATCTTGGCTATTATGAATAATGCTAAAATGAACATGGGAGTGTAGGTATCACTTCAAGGTACTGATTTCACTTCCTTTAGATTTATACCCTTAAGTGGAATTGCTGGATCAGATGGTAATTCTATTTTTAATTTTTTGAGGAATTTCCGTATTTTCCATAATGTCTGTACTGGTTCACATTCTCAATTTAAATAATAGGGCAGAGAAAGAATATATTATAGAAGTGATTTTTTTTTCAAAGGGGAAAGAGGGACCAGGGACTAGAGAATTTCAGTCCCACTGTAGTAGTACTTCCAGAAATGTCCATATGAAGGATATTTTGTTTTGTTTAGAGAATATCTAACTGTAAAATATAAACATCATTTAGCAAATCTCGCATTTTTTTTACATCTAGGTTTTTCTAAAAAAATGACAGCCTTTTTCTTCCTACCACCATCTTTGAAATATTGCTTATTATATAGTCTTACTACTTTGTCACTCTTTATTATAAGCTGGGCATTCTGTCATTTCTCAAAGCAATTTTTAGGACATAATACCTCATTCTTTATAGTCTGTACTCTTCCTCTCTCCCACTATTTTATATTTTATATATATGTATATATATAAATTTTCTTATTGATAAGCGTCTAAGTTAAGAAAATGCTAGCATAGCTTATTTCAAGCTAATAGTACTTGTTAACTAGAATTTGCTTCTTTAGTCTGTATGTCTGGAACTTTGTTTTTATGAATCTTTATTATTTTTAGGGATCAAGAACAGTGGCTACACTGAATTTTGTATTATCATTATTATTATTTTGTCTTTCTTAGTGCAAAGTTTTGAAAGTGGTAAATGCATATCTTCTGAAAAGAAACATCACATCTTGGGGATTATCAGGTTGCCTTGTTTTATTCCTTAAGCAATATACAAAAAGTTCACAAATAATTTTTTTTTCTTTTTATTTTTTTTGAGACAGAGTTTCCCTCTTGTTGGCCAGGCTGGAGTGCAATGGCGCAGTCTCAGCTCACTGCAACCTCCGCCTCCTGGATTCAAGCAATTCTCTTGCCTCAGCCTCCCGGGTAGCTGGGATTACAGGTGCACACCACCACACCCAGCTAATTTTTGTATTTTTAGTAGAGATGGGGTTTTGCCAGGCTGGTCTCTAACTCCTGACCTCAGGTGATCTGCCCACCTCGGCCTCCCAAAGTGCTGGGATTACAGGCATGAGCCACAGTGCCTGCCTGGCCACAAATAATTTTAAAGAGTTATCTTCCATATATCTCAATTCTACATAATCTGACTCATTGTTTTTATTTATTAGGGCAAGTCAGTGTAGGTATGATATGCTGATCCAGAAAAGTCATTATAGAGAATTTAGCATTGCAGTCCAATGCTATTTATACCTCCTCTAAACCAGAGATGATGCTAAACTCATTAGAAGTACTTTTGTGTACATCTAGAATTTTGGCTATGATTTTTAAATTCTAATTTAAGCAGTTTCTGAACTTTTGTAAAGATTCTTAATAGTGAATCATAATGATACAGCTCCTCAAAACAGAAGGACTTAAATGTTAAAAACTGGAGTAAATAGGAGTAGGTACTGATCCATGTTTCTGTCCCTCTTTTACAGGATGCAGACTCTTCTTATTTTAAAATCTTTAAGACAAAACATGACTGAAAAGAGCACCTGTACTTTTCAAGCCACTGGAGGGAGAAATGGAAAACATGAAAACAGCAATCTTCTTATGCTTCTGAATAATCAAAGACTAATTTGTGATTTTACTTTTTAATAGATATGACTTTGCTTCCAACATGGAATGAAATAAAAAATAAATAATAAAAGATTGCCATGAATCTTGCAAAAAAGGTATTAACTCATACTATATTCTTGGATAAAATAACCTTTTAAAATACTTTAGCACATATGCTTAAAATCTAAGTTAACAGATTTGTCTTAGTCCATTTGTGCTGCTATAACAAAATACCACAGATTTGGTAATTTATAAACAACAGAAATCTGTTTTTCCTGGCTCTTGAGGCTGGGAATTCCAAGACCAATGCACCAGCAGAATTAGTGTCTGGTGAAGGCTGATCTCTGCTTCCAAGATGGCACCTCATTGCTGCATCCTCCACAGTGGAGGAATGTATGTCCTCACATGGTGGAAGGGACAGAAGGGAAAGAGGAGCAAAATGCTTTCAAAAGAGCATTTAATCTCATTCATTACTCAGTCACCTCTTAAAGGCCACATCCTTTAATACTGTTGCTTTGGGGATTAAGTTTCGACATGAATTTTGGAGGGGACAAAAACATCCAAACCATAGCAACATAAATGTATAGAATATTTCACACAAAGCAGAGTGCTGGGTAATGACCAGATATAAAGAAGTATTTGAAATGACCTTACCTCCAAGATGCTTATACTCTTAGAAAAGTTGACAGGTACAGATGGCTGTAATTTGAAGCAGCAGGTAGGATTCATTGCACCTATTATTCATTAAACACCTGTTGTATGTCTTCTACTGTACTGGAGTGCTTAGTATTAGTTAATTAACTCATTCCTCATAACAGCCCACTAAGATAGATGGTATTACCTACCTTGATAGATGAAGAAAGACCAACAAGGTTTTACTTTTCCAAGGTCAAGGTCACAAAGCTAGTAAGGGGTAAAGCCATGATTAGATTCAGCTCAGGAAGATTCCACTGGCAACTCCTTACTTCTACTATTATTAATTTTACTTTAACATTTAACACCTTACAGCAGAAAACATGCACAGGCACTAATAGGAAATCAGCAGGAGTAACAGGTAAAGAAAAACATGGTCCTTATCTACAAGCAGTTCACAATTGAGCTGGAGCCAAAGTAACATACATAAAATAACTGTAGAATAGTTGTTGGGCAAGTTGGAAGCCACCCAAGTGGCTGTCCTTGGAAAAGGGGGAAGATGACATGTGGTAGAGGTACACGATGAGGTATAGCGGGTAGAAGCAATGGAATAAATGCATACATAACAACATGGATATGTACTAGAGGCATAGTCATAAGTGAAGAAATAAAGAAGCAACGCTAACACAATACTGTTCACATACACAAATATATGTGCACAGAAGATAGTGCTCATTTTGCAAGAAAACATACAACCTAATTAGATATATATTTAGGTATGGTAATAGTTACTTAGGATGGGGAGGAAACGGGGTGAACTATGGGGATAAAATATAATAAAGAGAGGACTCTTGCGTGACCAGTGATGAAAACTGGAATAACAACATTATTTATTGAATACAACACACCAATTATAAGAATGAAAAGATTGGAATAATTCTAGAATGCCACAAAATAACATATGTCATGTGGCCTGGTACAGACTATAAGCATAATAGTTCAGAAAAGGGAGATTTGCAGATAGAATCATGTGGAAGCCCTTCCTGATGAAGGTGTCACTTGCACTGGGCCTTGAAAGAAAGGAATTTAGACAGATGAAGAGAAGCTTCAGGAGGCCAGGTTCCAGGTCAGTTTTGTTTTATTCATCACTGAATCTCCAGTGCCTGCCTAGCATTGTGCCTGCTGATGTCTGTTCAACTACTCCAGCCAATGAATGGTAGAAGAGGTATATATAAATTAAAATCTTTAAAGATTCATCTGTATGGCATTTTTTTCTTTCTTTCTTTCTTTCTTTTGGAGATGGAGTCTTACTGTGTCGCCCAGGCTAGAGTACAGTGGCACTATCTCAGTTCACCGCAATCTCTGCCTCCTGGGTTCAAGCGATCCTCCTGCCTCAACCTCCCAAGTAGCTGGGACTACAGGTGTGCACCACCATGCCCGGCTAAGTTTTGTATTTTTAGTAGAGACGGGGGTTTCACCATGTTGGCCAGGCTGGTCTCAAACTCCTGACCTCAAATGATCCACCCGCCCTGGCCTCCCAAAGTGCCACCGCTCCCGGCCTGTGTATGGTATTTTTCTATGGCATGTAATTTTCTGTACACACCCTCTTTCTTTCTTAGGCTTTTTTGTCAGCAGCCCAAGATGGAAAAGGCAGCTTTATGTCAAGGTTCGCCAAAGACAGTCAAGAGCTGTGAAAGCCAAATGTTCACATTTAACTTTTTTTAAAGTATTTATTACTCGGCATCAATGTATTTCTTAATCATTATCCTGAGTGGACTTTTAAGTAGGAAGAAAATGGTGTGTTCATTACTCCAAAGCTGAAACACAGTTGGGGTTGTGTAAGGTGACAGCAGGTGAGTTGGTAAAAGAGTTAGCAGAAGTGACGGCTTTCGTTTCCTCAACTACTGGATTCACCAGTAAGCCACATGAGACCTCAGTCACAATCGGTAATTCAAAGGTAGATTTAAATATAAATATCCTGTTATTTCTGACACCTTTACTGAGGTATAATTGATGTATGATAAACTGCATATATTTAAAGTGTACAATTTGTTAAGTTTTGCCATATGGCTACACTTGTGAACCATAACCACAATCAAGAGAGTAAACACATATATCAGCCCCAGAAGTTTCCCTTTGCCCTTTTGTAATCATTTCCCCTCGCCCACCCCATTCCAGGCAACCAATGATGTGCTTGCATTATTATAGATTAGTTTGCATTTTATAGTTTTACATAAATGTAATTATACATTTTGTACACATAAACTGCTGGCGGGAATGTCAAAAGGTACAATTAACTTGAAAAAGACTTTTAGCAGTTCCTTAAAAATTTAAATATACACTTATCATATGATTTAGCCATCCCAGTCCTAGGTATTTGCCCAAGAGAAATGAAAGCTTATGTCCACATAAAGACTTGTAAATGAATGCTCATAGCAGCTTTACATAATAGCCCAAAACTGGAACCAACAAATGTCCATCAACAGGTGAATGGTATAAACAAACTGTTATATTCTATACCATGCAGCACTACTCAGCGATAAAAAATAATGAATGATTGATACATAAAACAACATGGAAGAACCTCAAAGAAGCCAGGGCATCTGGGTCTGGAGATTTCTTTTATCAGGAGATTTTAAATTATGAATTTAATTCTTTAATGGTTATAGGATATTCAGATTATTTCATCTTGGTTGAGTTTTAATAGTTTGTGGTTTTCAAGAATCAGATTATTTCTTCTAAGTTGTCATGTGTATAAGCCGAAAGTTACAGTATTTCCTCATTATCTTTTTAATGACTGCCTGATTTATAGTGATACTCTTCATTTCATTCTTGATAATAATGATTTGTGTTTTTTCTTTTTGTCAGTCTTTCTACAGGTTTATGGATTTTCTTGATTGTTTTTTGAAGAACCAGTTTTTTGTTTATGTATTTTTCTATTTGCAGTTTCATTGATTTCTGCTTTTGGTTATTTCCTTTCTTTTGCCTGCTTTGGGCTTATTTTGCTATTCTTTTTCTTGTTTCTTGTGGTGGGAACTTAGGTTATTGTGCTGAGACCTTTCCTCATTTCTAATATGCTATCTTCCTAGGTATTCCCTGGGATGTAGGAGACAGCTCTTGGAGACACATGGGGTTGGCTATCTGGCTTTTGGAGAGACTTTGTCTACCACAAGAATAGAGTAAAAGCAGACTCTTTCAGGAAGGGAAGAGGATGGCTGCCTCTTTCATCTTTATAAGTAGGGAAAATTAATTTTCCCTGTCCCTTGCCTATGCAGTATTTGGCCACTTACATAGCCAAAATCCCATGAGTTTCTTATCAGGTTGCTCTGGGGGATATGGACGAGTGCAAAGGTGGGCAGGTGCACTTGTTTACCCTGAGTAATAAGAAATCTATCTCTGACTCTGAACATCTTATGTGCATACTCAAGATAAGAAAAATAAAGATGAATATTAAAAAGCAAACTTTTTATGAGTGGATACTGGTTTATCAAATACTTTTTCTGGATCTACTGAAATATTATTTTTCTCCTTTCATTCTGTTAATGTGTTGAATCATATTGATTGATTTGCAACTATCACACCAACCTCACTTTTTCAGGAAGAAACCCAACTTGATTGTGATTATTCTGTGTGTGTAGGGGTGTGTGTGTGTGTGTGTATGTGTGTAGTTTAGTTTGCTAGTATTTTGTTTGGGATTTTTGCATTGATGTTGGGGGGAATGAAATAGGTCCCTTTCTCATAAAGTTTTTGCCAGGTTTTGGTATCTAGGTTTTCTGGCATCATAAAATGAGTTGGGGAGGGTTCCTGCATTTCTACTGCTCTTTGTAAGAATTTAAGATTGTCTTTCCATTGACGAATCAATCCATCTAGGCTTGTTGTTTCACTATGGAAAAGCAAATAAAGTAACTATAGGTTCCACTTCTTTAGCAGATAGGGAACTACTCGAATTTTCTATTTTTTCATTTGTCAATTTTGGCTCTTCCATAGTTTAAAGAATTTATTCACTTCATCTAAAATTTCCAACTAATTGGCATGAAGTTGTGCACATATTTTGTCAGATGACTCTAGGATTTGTAATATCCTTTCATTCCTGATATTGGTTGTTTGTGTTTCTTCCTTTTTCAGTCTACCAGACACTTATCAATTATCTTTTCAAAGAATCAACTTTTGGCTTAGTTGATCCACTTTATCTTCATTTTCTACTCCATTAATTCTTGTTCTTTATTATTTCCTTTATTTTCTTCAGGTTTAATTTGCTATTCTTAGAATATTTTAACTACTAGGTTCATTTTCAATCTTTTTTTTTTAATGTGCGTTTAAGACTATAAATTTCCTTCTAAGCATGGCTTTAGGCGTCTACCATAAGTTTTGACATGTAGCACTTTCACTACTCAGTTCAAATATATTCTAATTTTCATTGTAATTTATTGTCTGATCCATGAGTTATTTAAAAGTGTATTTCTTAATTTATGAACTTAATAGAATTTTTCTATTTTTGAAATTATTATTGATTTCTAAGTGAATGATACATGGCCAAAGAATATATTCCATTCCTATGACTTGGAATATGGTCAGTTTTGATAAATATTCTATCTGCATTTGAAAATAATGTGTATTTTGCAGTTGTTGGGTATTCTGTTTCATATATGCCAATTAGGTTAAGTTTTAAAGTATTATTCCAATCTTTACATATTTACGTATTTTTGCATGGCTGCTGTTCTGTTACTGAGTATATTAAAATCTGGGAATGCAGACTTGTCTTTTCTCATTTTAGTTCTGTTCATTTCTGCTTATATATTTGAGGCTATATTGTTAAATCATTAAAATATTAGACCTGTTGAAACTTTCTGGTGAATCAAATCTTTTATCATTACAAATTGTCTCTCTTTGTAATACTTTTCACCTTAAGGTCTACATTGAATAATGTTGCAATAGCCACCATAGTCCCCTGCCCTATCGTTTTTGTTTTTTGTATTTCATATTATAATTTTTCCATTCTTGTTTACTTCAAACCTTTGTATTCCTATACTTAAGACATCTCTTGCATAAAGGTACTTTGTGGGTTTTCTTTCTTTTCACTTTGATGATCTTTGCATTTAATTGGTACACTGTCTATTCATATGAATGTTGTAACTGATATTTAAACCTCCTAATCTACTGTTTGATTTCTATTTGTCCTATTTGTTCTATATTTTCTCTACCTTTTTGCCTTATTATTCCACTTTAGCCCTGTATTAGCTTTGTAGTTCTACGATTGTTTTATTTTGCTTTTTGCTGTTCTTTTAGTGGTTACCCTATAGATGACACAGCAGTCTTATTTATACTTTAATCTTCTTTCTGATAATTCTGACCTTAGAATTCCTGCACCAAATTTGTATATTATTGTCACATTTTAACATTATTTATTTTAACCTCGAAGACTATTTTATATAGTTAATATTCACTTAAACTGTATATATATATTTTTAAATTACTGTTCATTCCTACCTTTATCTCTAACCTTTTTCTGGGATCTTTTTCCTTCTGTCTGAAGAATACCCTTTACTATCACCTTTAATGACAATCTGCTATTAAATTTGTTGCGTTTGAAAGTGTCTTTGCCTTCATTCTTAAGAATTGTTTTTGGGGAAAGGCTGGGTATTGAATTCTAAAATTGCAGATATTTTCTTTCAGTAACCTGAAAATATCATGCCATTGATTTCTGCTTCCCATATTTTCTGTTGAGAAGTTAGCTGTCAGTTTAATAAAATTGTGCCTCCTTTAAAAGTAATGTCTTTTATCATTGTCTGGCTCCTTTAATGATTTTCTTTTTGTGTTTTATTTTTTCTTAGGATGTGCTAAGTTGTAATTTTGTTTTTATTTATCATGCTTTGATCTTGCAGGTCTTCATGTCTTAAAAACTTGGAGAATTCTCAGTCATTATCTCCTCACAGGTTGCTTCTGCCATATTCTCTCTTCTCCTGGAAATCCAGTTACGTGTATGTTAGATCTTCTCAAGTTAACTCTATGTCTCTTATACTCTCTACTATATTTTCTATTCTTTTGTCTCTTAGTTTTTCACATCTGGTATTTACTTCTGACATAACTTCTAGTTCACTAATTCTTACTTCACTGTATGCACTTTCTATCAAATCTATTCACTGAATCCTTTTTTTTTTTTTTTCTTTTTGAGATGGAGTCTCGCTCTGTCGCCCAGGCTGGAGTGCAGTGGCATGATCTTGGCTCACTGAAACCTCTGCCTCCCGGGTTCAAGTGATTCTCCTGCCTCAGCCTCCTGAGTAGCTGGGACTACAGGCACCCACCACCACACCCGGTTATTTTTTTTTTTATTTTTACTACAGATGGGGTTTCATTGTGTTAGCCAGGATGGTCTCGATCTCCTGACCTCATGATCCACCCGCCTCAGCCTCCCAAAGTGCTGGGATTACAGGCGTGAGCCACCGCGCCCGGCCTATTCACTGAATTCTTAAACTTGATTAATGTACTTTTAAGTTGGGGACTTGTTGATTGATTCTTCTATATAGTTTCTGATTTTCTGCTGAAATTCTCAATCTTGTGTTTTAGATCTTTAAACACACTAAACATAGTAATTTTAGACCCTGTGTTGTATAGCTCATTATCTGGGTCCCCTGTGGCTCTGTCCCATCATCTGTCGCTTCTTTCGGATTTTCATCATGTTGTCTTGTTTCCTCAGATACCTTAAATAACTTTCCAACACTAAACATGAAAAGTTATAAAAATAACTCAAAAGATCAGTCCAGAGAGGATTTACATTTGCTCTGGGTAGCGGCTGCAGCAAAGGGTCACCTGAATCCAGTTTTGGGAAGTGAGAAGATCCTAACTGCATCTGGTTTTTCTTCACCCTTACAATTTGGATATGGTCCTTGGGGTCACAACCCAATGTATGGTCAGTTAACTAGGATTCCTTTCCCCTCCCCTACTTCCTTGGAGAGTCTTGGTCTCCAGTTTTTGTCCCTCTAACTCAGCAGCAAGGCTGTTATAAGTGTTACTTAGCGTCTCAGACTCTCAACCACCTTATCCTGAATTGGCATGTCTCCTATAAGAAAAGCAGCCCAAATGCTGAGCTCAGGTCTCTAAGTTTCATTCTGTCTTAGATCTTAGTGATGTTATTCTTCACTGTCTTTTGGTTCTCTAATGCCTTTAAGCAGATTTTAAAATACTATTTTGCCTGGCATTGCTAGTTCTCTGAAATAGTTGGTATGAATGCACCACTAAAAGTTAGAAGTAGAAAAGTAGGTTTTAGGGAAAATTCAGTAACGTTAGTGTTAGTCCAAACTGCACCATTTTGTAAGCTCCCCGCTATTTTGCAGACCTTGATCAAAGTAAAACATTTCACAGGGGTTCGGGCAGTGAGAAACATGCTGCCTAACCACCTGACCACAAGGCGGAAAAAGGCCCAACCTAAGAAATATCCCTATCATATCTTGCTGGGCAAAGTTCCAAGGAATACTATGATGACATCCCACCACAACAAGGGCCAGAACCACCTCATCATGGGAGCATCTTATCAATATCCTGCCGAGCAGCAAGCCATACTGCCCAGACCCCTCTCACCCATGCCTATAAGTACGCCCAGCCTGTAAGCAGCGGTGGGCTCTGGCATTAAGCTGGTCCCCCACTTCTGTAGGTTTTATGCTAGACATAAAGTCTGCATTTGCTGTCAAGCTGCCCTCTGTGTGTCTTTCTTTAACTCTCACCTTCCCTTCAAAATCTAACAGTCAGTTTTTAATATACCAAGTGAAGATACCAAATAAGTGATATATATAGGTTCAGTGTAAGAAGAGAGGTTGGGTTAGGTACATATATTTGATCATCATCAATTTATTGATGATATTTCAAGTCTTGAAGTAGATGAGATTATCTATGGTGATTGCAGAAACACAAAGGGGGGCCTAGAATCAATTGTTGAGAAATTCTAAAATTTAGAGGTCAGGTAGAAGAGGAGAGGCAGCAAAGATGTTTGAGGAGTTGCTAGGAAGATAAGAAGAAAACAAAGATAATGTAGTGTCAGGAAAGTTCAAAAGAAAACACAAAAGCTGCTTCAAGGAATGGTCAAATGTGTCAATTACTACTAGCTGGTTTGACAATAAAAAGGTCAATAGTGACCTTAATAAAAACTTTTTTTTTTTTTAATTTGGGAGAGTCATGGAGATGGGATCCAGATTGGAATGATTTGACAAGTAAATGAAAGAGAAAACCTGGCTATGAATGAAATGGAGATATGGGAGCACTTTGAGGAGGATGCAAGGTTAAGCGAAGGCATAGCTTGACATTATTATCACAGTGAAAATCTCTAAACAACTTAAAATTCACATTATTTGGGGGACAGTAGTCCAATAAATAATATCTATCAATGGAATTTTATGCTGTCATTAAAAGTGATAATTATGGCTGGGCACGGTGGCTCACGCCTGTAATCCCAGCACTTTGGGAGGCTGAGGCGGGCGGAGCATGAGGTCAAGAGTTCGAGACCAGCCTGGCCAACATGGTGAAACTCTGTCTCTACTAAAAATACAAAAATTAGCCGGCGTGGTGGCATGCGCCTTTAATCCCAGCTACTCAGGAGGCTGAGCCAGGAGAATCGCTTGAACCCAGAAGGCGGAGGTTGCAGTGAGCTGAGATCGTGCCACTGCACCCCAGCCTGGGTGACAGAGCGAGATTCCATCTCGGAAAAAAAAAAAAGCTGATAATTACAAGTACTTTTAACGACATGAGAAAATATTTCTACATGACAAAGATATAAAGGTGTACAGCTAGCAAATCTCAATCATGTAAATTAAATCATAAGTCTGAGATGTAAACTCAGAGTAATACAAAATCCTATCTTAGTAACTGTACTATATTACCTCCAAAAAAAGAATAACATACAAATCTCTTGAATTCATTAACTGAAAATTGGTCCAAAAAGTTTATCCTTTAACATTGTTAGAGTGAACTCGTCCACATACTAAATAAATGGAATACTAATAACAACTTAACTGGTACATTTCATATAATTTGAATGATTTCTAAGGAGAATACATTATTATAAATCTAGGGGGCTCCTACTGATTTCATTGGAAATTAAGTAAGAATTAGAGGAAACTGATCTCTCAACTGATGTGGATTCATTATTAATCCCCCTTACATGTATCTGTAAAACGTTCCTAAGCAAGAAGAGAATGAAAATAAAATTCAGATCGTATTATAAAAATTTTCTTCCATCTCCTTCTGACTTTAGTTCATATACCTTAAGACACTAGTAACTGGTAGTCCTGTTGGGTAAATCATTTTTCAGAAGCAGTAAATTCAGTTGAAAGAAATACATAATGAGTCAGATATATGCTTTAGTAGTCATATGCAGATTACCCTAACATTGCTCTTCCTGTGAATATTCACATGATGAATGGGATGAACCCCGCTCCTTTCACATATATTAGAAGGATATTTGAAAAGGAAGGAAAATATTTTATTAAAAGTTTTTTAAAGTTTATGAATTGAAGTCTATGAAAACAAACTACTTGATACAAAAACATTCAGATATTAGATGTCAAAATAAATCAGCACATTTGAAAATACTATAAATTATATTTCAAACAAATATATACACATTATGTTAACCTTCAACAGGATCCATTATCACTACTTAGAACACTGATATGTTTATCTCTTAAGTATGTAAAAATTACATAGCTGTTAACTTTGTATGGCAATTCACCTATAACACATTTAAGAAAGCATTACAAAATTCATTATATGATAATTCTACAAAAGTTTTCTCACATTTACCAAAGCCTACTAAAGTCCAGAGGGCACAAATATTGGCCAAATAGTTCTTTTATCTTAGACATAAAGATGTTTTTGCTGTTTTTTAGAACCATTAAGATGGCTAAGAGAACCAACTTTACGGAGCTTAGCTGTTCTCAGGCATCTGAATGGGGGTGTGGAGAAGTCCTCAAGTTACAAGAATCACAGTTACTTTTTTAGGATGAAAAAATAAAAACATTGCATTTGATGACATTACAGTCAAAATGAGCTCTAATACAAATGTATGTGGAGAGGTTTTGAAGAATAAATCGGATATCCCAGGGGAGGTTCTGCTGCTTGTACCGTAAGATTTCTTAAAAGTAGTGGATGAGCTTGTATACTATAACGTTCTTCATCATCGTTTGTGGCATAAAGTAATTCCCATGAAAGATTGGCCCACTGACCTCTAACAGCTTCAGGATTTAACTTTCCCACTTGGATCAATAATTCTTGAAGGCTAAGCACTCTCCCAGTGTAAATTCCCTTTAAAGTAAAAAGGGTAGGAGGAGGAGAAAAAGAAAAGAGATTCCATTTAGGTCTTTATATTTTATTCATAAACTTAGAGAAAAATTGCATTGTAATTAGGCAAACTTTTCCCAAGTTCAAAAAACAGAAAGTAGTGTTTAAAAATGTACACAAGTTGCCTGTATTCAGAATCAAGAATTACCTCTACTTCCTTGGTTCTTTAAATAAAAGTTTCCTGGCAGCCATCTCAATCACCATTAGGCAAAATCTTAGTCACTTCTCTTTGTCTGCCTTTTCTGATCTGTTGCCTCAGCGATGCATAGTCATAAATACTATTTGGTGGTGAATGATACAATAGGCTCTTTTTAAAGAAACAGCTTTGTTGAGATATAATTCACATTCCATATAATTCACATTTACTTACTATATGCAATTCAGTGGCTTTTATTATAGTCACAGATACGTGCAACCATCACCACAGTTAAGTTTTAAAACATCATAACCTCAAGAAGCATCCTTGTACTCTTTAGTTATCACCATCCTATCTCCTCACTGACCATTCCCTAAGCAACCACTAACATACTTTCTATCTTTATAGACTGGCCTGTTCTGTAAATTTCACTTGAAATGAATCACATAATATGTGGTCTTTTGTGACCGATTTCTTTCACTTAGCATATTTTCAAGGTTCATCTATGTTGTAGCATGTATCAGTACCGTATTCCTTTTTATGGCAGAATAATATTCCATCATATGGATATAATAAAATTTGTTTTCAGCAATTGATGTACAGTTGGTTTGTTTCCACCTTACAGCAATTAAGAATAATGTTGCTATAAACATTCATGTACAAGGTTTCATGTGGATTTATGTTTTTATTTCTCTTAGGTATACATACTTAGGGATAGAACTGCTAGGTCACATGTCAACTCTATGCTTAACTATTTGAGAAACTGCCAGAATGTTTTCCAAAGTGGCTGTACCATTTTACATTCCCAAGAGCAGAAGAGGGTTCCAATTTCTCCACATCTTGTTAACACTTATTTTCAGACCTTTTGATTTTAGCCATCCTGTGTGTGTGAAGTGTTATTTTATTGTAGTTTTGATTTGCACTTCCCTGATGACTAATTATACGGAGCACTTCTCATGTACTTATTGGCAACTTGTACATCCTCTTTAAAGAAATGTCTATATAGATCCTTTGTCCACATTAAAATCTATTTATCTTTTTATTATAGAGTTGTAAGTTTTTTTTTTATATATTCTAGTAACAGTCCCTTATCAGATATGGGCAAATATTTTTCCCATTCTGTGAGTTGTCTTTTTACTTTTTTGATGGTGTCCTTTGAGGAACAGAAGTTTTTACTTTTGATGAAGTCATATTTATCTATTTTTCTTTTGTTTCTCATGCTTTTGGTGTCATATCTAAGAATCTATTGCCAAGTTTAAGGTCATGAAGATTTACCCTTATGTTTCCTTCTAAGTTTTTTATGGCTCTTATGTTTAGGTCTTTGATGTATTTTTGAGTTATTTTAAAAATACCGTATATAAAGTAAGGTCTGTAGTGGGTTAAATAACATCTATTTGAAGTTACCTGTGAATGTGACCTTATTTGGAATGGGTACTTTGCAGATGTAATTAAAGATTTAGAGATGAGATCATCCTGGATTTAGGTGGGTCCTAAAGCCAGTGACTGACATCCTTATAAAAGAAAGTAGTGGTAGAATTGACACATGAGAGTATAGAGAATAAGGCCATGTAAATACGGAGACAGAGACTGGAGTTACTCAGCCATAGCCAAAGAATGTTAAGGGCCACCAGAAGTTGGAAGAGGCCAGGAGAGATTCTTTCCTAGAGCCGTTAGAGGAAGCGTGGCTCTACTGGCACCTTGGCTTCAGCCTTCTAACCTTTAGAACTATGAGAGAATAAATTTCCATTTTTTAAAAAGTCACCCAGTTTGTGGTAATAATTGTTGCAGCAGCCCTTAGAAACTTATACTAGTAATCCAACATTATTCTTTTGAATGTTGCTATCGGAAGATGATTTCCCCAGTGAATGGTCTTGGCATCCTTGTTGAAAATTAGCTGGCTAAAGACCCATGGGTTTATTTCTGGATCCTCAATTCAATTCCACTGATTTATATGTCTATCATTATGCCAGTACCATACTGTTTTGATTATTGTTTCACGTAAGTTTTGAAACTTGGAAGTATGAGTCGGCCAATTTTCTTTTTCAAGATTGTTCTGGCTATTCAGGGTCTCTTGAAATTCCATATAAATTTTAGAAAATCAACTTGTCAATTTCCACAAAGAAGCCAACTGGAATTCTGAAAAGGACTGTGTTGAATCTGTAGATATATTTGGAGAGTATTGCCATCTTAACAATATTATTTTGATTTATGAACACTGGATGTTTATTTATTTAGATAGTTTTCTCTTTTAACAATGTTTTGTAGTTTTCAGAGTGTAAGCTTTGTACTACTACTGTTCAATTTTTCCTAAGTATTTTATTCTTTTTGATGCTATTTTAAGTGGGATTTCCTTAACTTCATTTTTGGTTTGTTCATTGCTAGTGTGTAGAAATTCACCAGATTTTTGTATGTTGATCTTATATCTTGCAACCATCCTGAATTTGTTAATCAGTTCTAAGCTTTTTAGTTGATTCCTTAGATATTCTATACATTAAGATCATGTCAGCTGTGAATAGAGACAATTTTACTTCTTCCTAATCTGAATGCCTTTTCTTTCTTTTTCTTGCCTAATTACTCTGGTGTCTTAGCTCAGGCTGGTATAACTAAATACCATAGACTAGGTGACTTAAAGAAGAGACATTTATTTCTCATAGTTCTAGAGGCTGGGAGGTCCAAGATCGGGGTGGTTTCATGGCTGGGTTCTGATGAGGGCTATCCTCCTAGCTCATGGATAGCCATCTTCTTATTCTGTTCTAAGCAGAAAGACAGGAAGCTGTGGGTGTCTCTTCCTCTTCCTATAAGGGCACTAATCCCATCATGGGGCTCCATGCTCACGATCTCATCTAAGCCTAATTACCTCCCAAAGGCCCCACCTCCTACTACCATCAGGCTGGTCTCAAACTCCTGACTTCAGGTGATCCGCCTGCCTCGGCCTCCCAAAGTGCTGGGATTACAGGTGTGAACCACTGCGCCCAGCCTTATGTTAACCTTAAAAAAAAAAAATGCTATTTCTCTTTCTTCCTGTAGATTCAAGAATCCAGAAATGAATTATCTGGATTCATTTCCTTTATCCAGTACAGCTTTGCCTCTACTGGCTTCCTTTGTGCAATTATTAGCAAATTACATTCCTATATGTTATAGGCCCAACAATACATGAATACATATTGTTTTAGGCTTCAACATATAAATTCGGGGCGTACATAAACATTCAGTCCATACCACCTGGCTAGAAGTTCTAGTACAATGTTTAATAGAAGTGGTAAGGGTAGACATTCTTGTCTTCTTGATCTTAGGGGTAAGCATCCAATCTTCACCAATAATGATGATGTTCACTGTGAGTTTTTCATAGATGTTCAGGTTGAAGAAGTTCCCTTCTTTCCTATTTTGTTTTTACTATGAAAGGGTGTGGGATTTTGTTAAATAGTTTTTTTATATCTACCGAGATGATCATGTGGTTTGTGTCTTTTATTTTATATATTACATATTTATATATTAATAAAATATTATATATTTTATATATCATAGCACTTCCTGTGCTCAAGCAATCTTCCCACTTCAGCCTCCAGAGTAGCTGGGACTACAGGAACATACCACCATGTATGGATAATTTTGTTTATTTTTTTTAAGAGACAAGGTCTTACTATGTTGCCCAGGCTAGTCTTGAACTCCTGGACTCAAGTGATTCACCTGCCTTGGCCTCCCAAAGTGCTGGGATTACAGGCATTTTCTTAAATCCAATCCGATAATCTCTGCCTTTCATTTGGATTATTTAATCCATTCCCATTAATTTTATTACTGAAATAGCTGAATTTTGCCTGTCATTTTCCTTTGTTTTCTTTGTCTCATATCTTTTTTATCCCTTTTTCTTGACTTTTATCCCTCTTTCGTGACTTTCTCTCGTATTGACTATTTTGTAATATGCCATTTAAATTTCTTTAATGATTGTTTTCACTTTTTTTCTCAGTTATTTCCTCAATGGTTGACTAAAGCTTACTATCTCTGTCTTACAAGATTCAGCCTCAGATTTACACTAATTGTGGTGAAGCAGAAATATTACTCTTACAACGTTCTAGTTCCTTTTCTTCCCTTCTGTGGCACTGTTATACATATCACATTATAAACGTTACAAATCCAACAGTACATAGTTATAATTATCACTTTATATAATTTTATGCCTTTAAGAGAAGCTGAGAGAAAAGGGAGCAAGTATACATTTATTGTGTTTGTTATATTAATTATTTTTCAGAGACAGGGTCTTGCTCCATCACCTAGGATGGAGTGCAGTGGTGCAATCATAGCTCACTATAACCTGAACACCTGGCTCAAGTAGTCCTCCCACCTCAGCCTCTAAAGTGGTAGCTAGGACTACAAATGCACGCCACCACACTTGGCTAATTTTTATTTTTTGTAGAGATGGGCTCTTGCTATGTTGCCCGGACTGGTCTCAAACTCCTGGTCTCAAAGCAATCCTCCTGCCTTGGCCTCCCAAAGTGCTGGGATTACAGTCATAAGTTACCATGCCCAGCCTTGTTATGTTATCCTTCTTTTTTTTTTTTTGAGATGGAGTCTCGCTCTTGTTGCCCAGGCTGGAGTGCAGTGGTGCAATCTCGGCTCACTGCAACCTCCACCTTCTGGGTTCAAGCGATTCTCCTGCCTCAACCTCCCAAGTAGCTGGGATTACAGGCGCCCGAGTAGCTGGGATTACAGGCACCCACCACCACACCCAGCTAATTTTTTTTGTAGTTTTAGTAGAGACAAGGTTTCACCATGTTGGCCAGGCTGGTCTCAAACTCCTGACTTCAGGTGATCCGCCTGCCGCGGCCTCCCAAAGTGCTGGGATTACAGGTGTGAACCACTGCGCCCAGCCTTATGTTAACCTTAAAAAAAAATGCTATTTCTCTTTCTTCCTGTAGATTCAAGAATCCAGAAATGAATTATCTGGATTCATTTCCTTTATCCAGTACAGCTTTGCCCCTACTGCCTTCCTTTGTGCAATTATTAGCAAATTACATTCCTATATGTTATAGACCCAACAATACATGAATACATATTGTTTTATAGAATTGCTTTTCAAATGAGTTAAGAGAAGAAATATGCCTTTTTATTGTTTTTTATAATTACACAGTTACCTTTATTGGTGCTCTTTGTTTTTGTGTGTGAATTTGAATTATTGTCTGTGGTCACTTACTTTCAGCCTGAAGAACTCTAGTATTTCTTGTAAGGTGGGTCTGGTAGCAACAAATTCTGTTTTTGTTTATCTGGGAATTTCTTTATTTTGCTTTCATTTTTGAAAGATCACTTTGCTAGATATAGGGTCCTTGGTTAACCTTTCTGTTTTGGGGTTTTCTTTAGGGGGCACTTTGAATATGTCATTCCATGCTTCTGGCCTCCATTGCTTCTGATGACAAATCAGAATTTTATATGACTTTCCTTAAAATGTACAAGTAGTTTTTACTTGGTGCTTTCAAGGTTTTCTCCTGGTCTTTGGATTTCCACATTTTTACTATGATGTATTTGCCTGCGGATCTCTTTGCATTTATTCTAAAGTTCACTGAAGTTCCCGGATGTGTGGATTAATGTTTTACAATAAATTTAAGAAGTTTCAGCCATTATTTCAACAAATAATTTTTTTTCTCCCTTCTCTCTCTCTCCTCTCCTTCCGATACTAAGTGTATGTTGGAGCAGTTAATGGTGTTCCACGTTTCTCTGAAGCTCTCTTCCTTTTTATTCATTCTTTTCTCTTCTTTGGATTGCATAATCTCTATTGATCTAGAATCTTCAAGTTCACTAATTCTTTCTTCTGCCAGTTTAAATCTACTGTTGAGCCCCTCTAGTGGAATTTTTCATTTGGTTCTTTTTTATAATTTCTATCTCTACATACATTCTCTATTTGATGTGATTGTCACCATACTGTCCTTTATTTCTTCAACCATGATTTCCTTTGGTTCTATGAACATATTTATAATGACTACTATGAAATCTTTTATTAAATCTGACATCTGTTCCCTCTTACAGGCAAGCCTGGTTGTCTGCTTTTTTCCCCCGATATATGGGTTAGACTTTCCCATTTCTTTGCATATCTCAACTTTTTGTTGAAAATTGGATATTCCAGGTAACACTGTAGAAATTCTGGGTGCTGGTCCTCTTCATTCCTAACTCCAGGGCTTGTTATTATTATGTACTTGTTTGTTTAGTGATTGGCTGGCTTATTGTAGTGAAGTCAGTATCTGTCTGCTCCCTACCATACCCTGCCCAGTTTGAAGTCTCAGATATGACCTCTCATAGAGTACAGCCAAACTGTGAATGCACACAGCTACCTTGGGATGGTTTTGGCACGGCTATCTTGTCTGTTAAGTGTTCATACCCAGCTATTAAGCTCCACTGATTGCCAGCTGGTTACTCTATGTTTTCAACAGAGACCTGGGGCATAAATTGCTCCACAGACTGATCCAATTAAACATGAACTCCTTGAAAGGAATAGCTTTTGATGTGTTTGAGATTTGTTCTGATCCCAGGAAGGCTCTTTGCTCTTTCTTCCCCTGAAAAAAATCTAGCCAGTTTACAGTTTAGCTTAATGAACCTACCAGTCTCCTAAACATTAGTTTGCACCACAACCTCCACCATTTATGTTGTTTTCTTTTTTTGACACTATCATAAAACAGCAAGTCCTCCATTGTTTTCAAGAACATTTTGGGCTTTAATGTGTCTACACTCCGTTGCAGATAAATCAGTTCCTCTGGGAAGAAGAGATTCAGAGCTTTTGTTGTTGTTAATAATAATTTGCTTCTCCCACTGGGCAAAATCTCTGAGCCAGAGTTCTGGGCGATAGCATGCTTCTCTCTTGAGCGACACTTCTGCTTTAGGAGATAAGCATTTGGTGGAGGGAAGGAGTAGCCTCAGGTCTCTCTAGCTTGCCTCTCCCAGCATAAGACCTCCACATTATGAGTGGGCAAGAGTGATCAAGGCCCCAGTATTTTCAGTGGCATCACACCCAAGATAAAGTCTCCATCCCGTAAGTGCGGTTGGCCAGAAGGGAATCTTTACTTGGACATCACATGCCTGGAATCCAGCCTCAGCAACACATAGCTGGGACAGGATTAAAAACGTTGAACTCCTGCCCTTCCTAGGAAACAGTCCTCCAACTGGGAGCTGACAGAGAAGAGAGCCTACGTTCTGGGTTGTACCAGTCTGAGGGGAGATTCCATCTTGCTGAGGTTCAGGTAGGGTAGGTCTTGGTTCAAATACTGCAGTCTCTTGCTATTCTCACTGGGTTTTAGCAGATTTCTTTGAATAAATGTGTGTTCATTTGCTGTATGCCCTTAGGAGACTTTCTAAGACTTTAAATGGTTACTTAAAAAAAAGAATTTTCATCAGTTTCACTAGGGAGTGCATTTGCAGAGCTCCTCAAACCATAATGCCAGACAGACAAAACCATGATAAGCTCATAACATTGAATCTTTCATGTTGTGTACACTTGACAACATTTTAAATGCAATAAGAACAAGTACTAAATCTTAAAGAGTCATCCCCTATTTTAAGTCTCTGGATTTTCACAGGTTAGGTTTGCTTCAATACAGTATAAATGTCAGCAAAATACTTTGCCACTTACAGATAAATTTTTCTAGGAGTCAAATCCAAGTGATGATTCATACACTTGAACACAGGAATACAATCCATTTAATCAAATATGTTATAGCATACTACACATACTTAGCTCTCTTATAGGTCAGGCATTGCACTATGGCTACACAACATTTTTAATTGGCTCCTCTTCAGTTGGCAAAAGTAGAGAAATCAGCTATTCTAGAGTTCATCTAGCTTAGCCAAAAAGTCATGATTACAAATGCCTTAAAACTATAATTAATATATCACAGCTATAACGTTATATCATTTATCACTTAGTTCAAATACTTTATAACTTATATCCATTCTTTAAGGTTAGTATATGTAAGTTTAAAAATTTTTTAACCTTACCATATTAGAATCATACCCCAGAGAAAACAAGTATGGCTTTTCTTGTAAAATTGCTTCCTTCCACTTTTCATCAGATACCAAACCAATGTACCAGTCACGTTCATATTCTTCAAGGTACTTAATCAGTTCTCTAAAGTCTTCTATTGGACCTAAACTTGCTTTATCAATCATTAGTTTCAGAGTATACCTAAAAAAAATGGAGAACCGAAGAATTTTAGAATATTTGCTGTCAACTTTAAAGATCAAATAGATTTTGTTAAACCAATATTTTAAGACATTGAACTGAAATCATATCTATTTCAGATAAAAAGTGGAGGAAGAAATGATGCAGTTAAGGTGAAGAAATCAGAAAGCCATAAAAAAACCAGGTTTTCCATATAAACAAAACCAAAGGAAGCACAAATTAAAGTGTACCCTTGATACAATCACACTACACATGAAACATTTTTTTCATTTTGAAGAAAGTAAATTTTAAAAAACTAGAAACGAATAACTGTCTTCTTGTACGTGATTTAGAAAAATCAGTATTTTTCCAACAATGTTATAACTTACATATGATCAAAATGGATTACCTGAATGCTTTCAGTGCTAGTTGAAACAGTTCTGGCTTTTCTGTGAGCCAGTCCAAAGCAACAGACCAAGGCAAAACACCACCGTAAACTCTCAATATATGACCAGGACTAGGAGCCATATTGTCTATTCCAAATAAACTAAAATAACAAGTCATTACTGTATGAACATAAAAGTCTTTTAAAACTTTGTCCTTGGCAATTTCTTCCAGTACATTTGAGGCCTTCTCTTCTGAATGATAACATTCCAACTGCCTTAGAACAAATTGGTACCAGTCTTCTGGAAATAACGAGCTCATCTCCTTCATTTTGGAACTGGGCATACAGCTAGTCCTCCACTCTGCGGGTAAGCATACTAAGTGAGAATGTGAACAACTGAACTCCATGAGAGGAATATATGGCATGTCCTCTTGTTTTCCTTTGTCAACAGCAGGGTATCCTAATAGAACTGCTTTGTAAAGATCGTTTTCAGGAACAGTGCCTGTAGAATGATCACCAACCCTCTGTGATTCTACTGATCCTGGAATAAACAAATTTGTACCTGGCAAATCTTTCAACTGATGTTTTTCTTCTATTACTTTTTTGATAGTTGGCTCATCATCAAAAATATTATCATCAGACCAGTCATTAAAAGTTTCTGAATTTAAACTGTCTATGTCTTCTGGGGATTTGGGAGGTGGCAAAGTGTTCAAAGCAGGCAACATTAGAGGTGCTTTCCCTTTATTTTCAGTGTTGTGAACATTCTCTTTCATGCCAGGCCTTTTGGAGCAGTATTGAACAAGTATCCACACAAGTACTTTAATGAGGTCACCTTTAAATTCTTTTAAGTTTTCATGAGAATCAATTATGCCTGATAGAACATTCCTGGCATCAGAATACAATTTCACAGGCAAAACAGTACAGGGTGTCAAGACATTTCCAAAGTGTTCATTAAGGGAACATACTCTTGTGTATTCTTGCTCAAAAGCATCTTCAAAAACTTCATCAACTCTGCGAGCTTCTGCAGTATGACAGGATGTTTCCTGCAATTCTAACCCCTAAAGAAGAAATAAAAAGTACTTGAGTTTATAATCATTTATTACATAATATACAGCAACTAGTCATGTAAATGCCCATAGATTCTCATCACAAAAATATGGAAAATGACAAAAACAATTTCTTTAACTCAAGAGCAACATCCTGACTTAAAGTTAATGGCACTTAACACATTTGATTCTGGATAGAGATTAAAAATAATGCTACTATTATTTTTTAAAATATTATGGAAATTCTACTAGAAATTGAGCAAATTTAGTAGGTATGAATATAATTTTAAAAGACTATAATGATAGTTAAGAGTGAGCCACACAATAAAAACTTTTAAATTATAATCCTGGAGGAGAAAAAAAGCAAAATTAGAATTATACAGTATATACAGTAGTATTATATGCTTTCCATCCCACTTTATGAGACTAATAGCATTATTCAGTGTATGGATGTGCCAGAATTTATCAGTCTCCTGTTCCAGATTTATAACATCAGAATGCAGATTTACTTCTTTGATTACTTTGGTTACTGCTATGTCAGTAGTGCCTAAACCAGTATCTGGTACACAGTGGGTATGCAACAAATATATGCTGAGTGAATATCATCAATATATCCTTACATAAATTTTAAACACCTTTTGATTACCTCCTTAGAAGGAATCACTTGAAAAGGAGGTATCAGGTCACTATTTACTATTATAATTGCTACTGCTTATTTAAATATTGCTTATTTATATATTTTTACAAAGGTGTCAGTGCCTTCAGAACTTGTTTTTCAGTCACAGCTCCACCAGGTGCTGGCAAGAACTTGAGCAGGTCACCTACCCTCTCTGAGATTCCTTTTTCCTGTTTCAAAGGAAAATAATCCTAGTGTATATGGTTGTGAAGGTTGCATGTTTTGTAAATTTTAAAGTATTAATATAATTGTTAATAGATGGCATGGCCTAACCCAGCTTGTGTCAAAAAAAGACAGACAGAAAAAAAGAGTAACACCAAAAAGTATATTTTTAAACCACATATGTCACAGAGCACAAAGGATCAATCAACATTATTAGGTATTATTAAACCATATCATTTTTAAATAGAATAAAATTAAGTAATCAAAATGTCCTCAATATTTTTTGTCTTCTGGTATGGGTTAGACTAGAGCAGAGGTTCTCAATCTGTAGGTGAGTCAGCATCACTCGGAGCGCTGTTTGAAATACAGGTTGCTGATCCCACCCCTAGAGTTTCTAACTTAGTAGGTTCAGGGTAGGGCCCAAGAATTTCCACTTCTAACAAGTTCTCAGGAAATATTACTAATACTAGTCAGGGCACTGCATTTTGAGAACCACTGGACTAAAGAGACAGCTTTTTAGTCACTAGCGATTTTATCCAATCTGTGCTAGTACAAAAAATTCACTTACTATTCATTATATAAAACAAAACAAAACAAAACATTTGTTAAAGGCCTATTCTGTGCCAGGCACTGTTTCAGGGGCTTAGGATGTATTCCTGAATAAAAACAAGAGATCCCTGTGCTTATGATACTACTTATAAAGTGAGGGACATGGGTAATCACCAGTAAAACTAATAAGTAAATTACATAGTTTGTGAGAAGGTATAAGTACTATAAAAATAAGGAAAAAGTAAAGCAAGGCAAGGGGGGGTTGGGAGTGCTGGGATAAGAGTGGGAGTGTAATTTTAAATATGATGGCCATAGGAAATCTCACTGAGGAGGTGACATTTGAGCAAAGACCTGAAAGTGGTGAGGGAGGGAGTTAGGTGATTATATGCAAGTAGAGTGTTTTAGGCAGAGGGAATAGCCAGGAGGCTGGAATAGAGTGAGAGGGTTAAAGCAATAAAGGCCAAAGAGGGAATAGGAAGCCTAGCCATTTAGAGCCTGGCTTTTACTCTAAATGAAAGAAGAGATCCACTGCAGGGTTTTGACTACAGAAGTGACATGGTTTGACTTAGATTTTAAAGATCATTCTGGCTGACAGTATACTGTAGGGGCACATAGGTGGAAGCAGGATGACCAATTAGGAGGCTATTTCAATTATCCAGGTAAGGGATCAAGGTGGCTGGGACCAAGGTGGTAAAAAGAGATGGGATACAGAATATGGTTTACAGGTGGAGCCCATAGGATTTCTTGTCGGACTGGGCGTGGGAGTATACAAGTGAAAAAGGAGTTAAACATGACTCTAGAATTTTTGGCCTGAACAACCAGAAGGACAGAGTTGTCAGCAAGGACTACTAGGCTCTGGGACACCCTTGTGTTAAAAGGTCAAAGAAAAGAGAAGGAACCACAAAGTAGAGAAGTAACCCATGAAACAAGTGAAAAGAAGAGAATAGCTGTGTAAAATGCTGCTGATGGTTCGAATAAGACTGGTTCTGAGAGTTGATCACTGGACTTAGCAATGTGCCAGTCACTAGAGACCTTGACAAGAGCAGGCTGGGTGGAGTAGTAGGGTCAAAAACCTAGAGTAAGTTGAAGATAGAATGAAAGAAATTAAATTGGAGATACAATTATAAACAGCTCTAATAAGGCCATTTTGCTCTTCAAGGAAGGAGACAAATAGGGTATAGCAGGTAGGGGCAGTAGGATTAGAAGACAGTTTTTATTAAGTTGAGAATGCTTAAATGATATAGGAGTTAAAAAAAAATTACTGATTCACACTTTTGAGATGCTCAACTTGACAGAGATAACAAGAATAGGACTGGAAGAAAAGGAAGCAGGTATATTTTGCTACCATGCTCTATTATACAATTAACATTAGTCCACCTATCAACATGTGCTTATTGAAATATACTTTAAAAATCCCTAGGTGTTTTCACAGGTAATTGAAAAGATATTCTTCTTTCAAATTGAGTGTTTGATGTGAACATAACAGGTAAAATTTTACACATGAACTATAAAAATACTACAGATGTTTTATATGCACACTGACCTTAATGTTAATAGAGCAGTAAGTATAGCCACATTCCAGAATCATTATCCACATTAAACGATCCTGAAAACGGCCCAAGTAATGAGATCCAGGTAGGAGGAGACCTACAACAAATTAGAAAAAAAAAAAAAAAAAAAAGAAAATCATTTTCAAACTTCTTTTATTTTGCCATGTGAATCTTCAAAACTAAAAAGACATCTAGAACTGATTCACGACTCCTACCCTCTCATTAGGTCAAGAACAGAAATAACTATTCATGTGTATCAGGAGGCATTAAATTAACTCTTTACAAGAGCAGTTGGAACAGATAATCTACAGGTGATACTACATAAAAACTCAAGGATTTTCCAGAAAAACAAATTAGAAGTTGTTGTATACAATCTTAAATACATGTTAATTATATTAGGAAAAGTATTGAGTTTATAAAAGGCAGCTTGACAGTCATGACTTAAAATATTTTTGACATTTTTATACATGGATATAAACATATAAAAAGTGTTTTGTGGTTTAAAAATGTACATAAAATGCTACATACCATACAAATACTTTTTAAATTTAGTTTTTCTCTAAATACTTTTATTAATGAGATTTGCCCACATCTATGGCAAACAGCTAAAATTTATAACTGCTGTCGAAAATACATTGTATCAATTTAACTGAATTTGAGTATTCATTTCCTTATTGATAAACTTTTCAGATGTTTCCAACTTTTCACTATTGTAAATAATGTTGCAGAAATTATCTTTGTGCAAGTCGGCTTGTACAATATGTGGTTCAGAACAGTGTTAACATACCAGAACCAACTACTATCCTTCAAAAGGTCTGCTTATATGGTTGGTCCTTGCCTGGCATCTGGGAACCCCCTACCTGATAAGACTCTCGTATTGTGTCTAACTGTACAAACAATATAGTATATACTGAACATCTGCTCTCCTTTTGGGATTCTGGAGTATTGGTATGTCCTAGGCAGACAGCGCCTGCATGACCAGCCTGCAGTAAAAGCCCTGGGCATTGAGTCTCAAATGAGTTTCTCTGGCAGTCAACATATCACACATCACAACTTGTTGCCAGGGCATTAAGCACATTCTGTGCAACTCTGTGCAACTCCTGGAGACTTGCACCTGGTCTCTTTTACTCCTTATGATTTTTCCCTTTGCTGATTTTGCTCTGCATCCTTTTGGTGTAATAAATCTTAGCTGTCAGTCCTCCTAGTGAACCATCAAACCTGGGGTAGTCTTGAGGACCCCCCAAAACACATGTACTAGAATTTCTCTAGAACTGGAATCACTAAATCATGGAATCTAAAACTGGAATCCCTGAGCCACGGGATATATACATCTTTATTACAGACTACCATTTAACTCTTCAAAGTGGTTGTACAAATTTACATTTCCTTCCAGAAAGGTCTGAAAGTTCTTGTTCCCCATGCCCTAGCCAATACTTGGTAGTGTCAAATTGTTTACATTTTTGCCACTCTGATGTATGTGAAATATTATTTCATTGCTTTTTTCCCCACCAGAAAATACTTTATAACGCAATTCTTGGTTGAGTATAATTGGTTTGATAATAAAGTATAATTTTTATCTAATTACTATTTCTGATGGGAGTTTAACCCCACAGGTGTTTTAAAAAATAAAACAGCATTACATAATGAAAATTAATTAACACTGGATAAAAGTATTGTAAGTATAGACTATTTTCTATAAGACAAATGACTATTCACAAAACATCTGTAGTACAAAGATAAAATATTTTTTTCTCATAAATCATCTCACATAATAATTAGAAAAGTTCAACCTGAAGTAAGCATTTTATTAAAATTCTAATCTTAAATTGTTACTCTGCCTAGAATGAGTTTGTCAGAAAGTTATCTGTCATTTTAAAAACAAGTTTCAGGGGTTAAAGCACATGGCAGGAGATGACACACTAGTGTCATCAAATTATACCTTATCTAAAACCAACCTTGAGAAGTACAATACAGTTAAAATTTACAGTTAGTGTTTGACAAAAGCATTAAAACTCATAACATTAGTTTACTGTCATCAAAAACCTATTATCTTGCTAGTAACTGAATAGCATTTCATTTTGGGAGGCTACCGTACCTACTGATCACTGACCGAAGTTTTTATGTTATCTTGTCCAGACTGCTTAAGTCTCTGTAACTCATAAAGCATGAACAAAACTCCATCTGCTCCTCAAGCTGATATTATGTAAAGCTAGTTTTCACTAAACTTTATGAACGTATGCTACTGCATTTACTTGACATGAACTCATTATAAATTCATGAAAATCTTCGGGGAAAGGTGTTTCCATGTTTCGATGGTGCATTGTAATCTGAATTTATTCAAGAAAATGTATTTAAAAAATTATAAAATCACCTTAATAAAAATTTCCCTGAGTATTTTTATTTTGTAACTTAATTTAGATGAAAACAAGGAGCAGGAGATAAACTTCTAATTTCATATTTAGTCTTTCTGCCTACACATCAAATTGTTATGGTTGTTATGCTATCTTATGGTTGGATAAAAAGATTGTTTTCCTGTTTGTTATTTTTTTGTACTTTAAATACATTAGTGAGAAATTCTTGAGCACAACCCATTTACTTACCTAAACTTCCAGCTGCCATTGCAGTCTGCAGTACAGCAGTCAACCTGGGCACCATTTGGTAGTAGTACAC
This sequence comes from Homo sapiens, assembly GCF_000001405.40. Classification (NCBI taxonomy): domain Eukaryota; kingdom Metazoa; phylum Chordata; class Mammalia; order Primates; family Hominidae; genus Homo; species Homo sapiens. The sequence continues at coordinate 60,118,622 of NC_000014.9, read as the reverse complement.
TGTATCTGCACACACACAGGCTGTGGTGCCTGCTGCTCCTGGCCAACTCTGAATAGGTCGGGGAAACCCCACCAAGAACACAGGAAGGGTGAAAAGAGGGAGTAAGGGAGAAGAGAGTAGTGTAGAAAAAACTATGATGACCAACACGAATGGAGAAAAGACAATGTTGAGTATACATAAAGTGGCAGTTGTTTTTCGACGTTGTTTTTTCTCTGTCCATGATGTCAAAAGCACAGTCACGGCAAACTGCAATTTAGAGATGAACTGAATCAAACGATCACGTATGATACCAACCTGTAGAAATGTAAAAATTATTTTTATTTATCCTTAGAAGATTTTTCATGAATTTTCAAGATCATATAAGACAGACTATACAGTAATTTTATTATTGCCCCAGTATTTTTGAAGAAATAAATCTTATTCTTTGATTTTTTTGTTAATTTTCTCCAACCTCATAATTAATAAACAAGACTATATTTTAAAGTTTGTTCTTAAAAAAAAAAAACAGTAACACTAAAGAGAGCTGACAGTGTACTAACTATGCTTTAAGGCTGAACCACTGTAGGCCACAAATTAGATAATGCAGAAATTGACAAGTTCCTAGAAAGACACAAATTACTAAAACTGGCTCAAGAAGAAATAAAAAATCTGAATAACCTACAAAAAGTAAAGAGATTGAATAATTTAAAAACTACCCACAGAGAGAAGCTGAGGCTCAGATGGCTTCAATACTACAAAATATTACATACCACAAAACATTTCAGATACATATTGAATACTACAGAACATTTACGAATAATCAATACCTATCCTTCACCAACTTCTACCAGAAAATAGAAGAGTATGGAACACTTCCTAACTCATTTTAGGGGACCAGGCAATGATATCACAAGGAAAGAAAACTAGATAAACACACCCCTCCGCCCACCTCAGCCTCCCAAAGTGCTGGGATTAAAGGCGTGATCCACCGTGTCTGGCCAGAGAAGGATATGTTCTAAGAAATGTGTTCTGCAGTATCTTGAAGTATTAAACATGGAGTTCCTATATACAACCAGAAATTCCAGTCCTAGGTAGGTATACCCAAGATAAATGAAAACATATGTTCACTAATAACGAGACTCATCATTGAGTGAATATTATAGAGCGTACATACACAAACCTAGGTGGTATAGCCTACTACATACCTAGGCTATATGTTATAACCTATTGCTCATAGGCTACAAACCTGTACTGAATGTTACAGTACTCAATACCATAGGCATCTGTAACACAATGTTAAGTATTTGTGTATCTAAACATTGAAATTGTACAGTAAAAATACATTATAAAAGATAAAAAATGGTATACCTGAATAGAGCACTTACTATGAATGGGACTTGCAGCACTAGAAGTTGCTCTAAGTGAGTGAGTGAGTGGTGAATGAATGTGAAGTCCTAGGACATTACTATACACTACTGTAGATTTTTAAAACACTGTACTCTTAGGTTACTCTAAATTTATTTTTAAAATATTTTTCATTCTTCAGTAATAAATTAACTTCAGCTTACTATAACTTTTTTATTTTATACTTTCTTTTTTACTTTTTGACTGTTTTGTAATGACACTTAGCTTAAAACACATTGTACAGCTGCTCAACATTTTTTCTTTATATCCCTATTCTATAAGTTTTTTTCTATTTAAAAATTTTTAACTTTTAAAACTTTTTTGTCAAAAATGAAGATACAAAAACACGTATCAGTCTAGGCCTACAGAAGGTCAGATCATTAGTATTACTGTCTTCCACCTTCACATCTTGTTCCACTGGAAAGTCTTCAGGGGCAATAACATACATGGAGTTGTCATCTCCTATGATAACAATGCCTTCTTCTGGAATACCTCCTGAAGGACCTGCCTGAGGCTGTTTTACAGTCAACTTTTTTTTTAATATGTAGGAATATACTCTAAAATAATAAAAAGCACAGTAAGTACATAAACCAGTAGTTGCTTATTGTCAAGTACTGCATACTGTACACAATTGTATATGCTATACTTCTATATGACTGGCAGCCCAGTAGGTTTGTTTACACCAACATCACCACAAACACGTGAGTAATGAGCTACCCTACAAGGGCTATACCACTAGCTGATAGGAATTTTTCATCTCCATAATAATCTTATGAAACCACCGTTGTATATGTGGTCTGTCATTGACTGAAACGTCCTTATGCAGTGCATGACTGTACTGATACATGCTATAACATGAATGAACCTTGAAAACATAAAAGTGAAAGAAGCCAGATGCAAAAGATCACATGCTGCAGAATTCCATTCATGTGAAGTATCTAAAATATGCAAATCCATAAAGACAGAAAGTAGATTAGTAGCTGCTGGGACTACAGTGGGTAGTAGGCGAGATGGAGAGGGGGAATGGGAAATAACAGTTGAGGTTTCTTTTTGGGATGTTGAAAATGTTCTAAAATTAGATTGTGGTGATGACTACAAAACTGAATATACACCACTAAATGGACAAATATTATAGTATGTAAAATATATTTCAGTAAAGCTGTTAAAAGACACACTTACCAGTAAGAGTCTGAGTCCTGTATCCAGGCTTCTGTTCCACCATATGTCTGTACTGGAGATCAAGTGTACTGTTGATACAATGACTGTCTCCAATAAAGCATTTTCTGTATTCTGCCATACCTGCAGTATACAAATTATCCATTTTTATCAGGTAGAATTAGATAATCTAAGCAAACTATTAAACAAAATTACAATAAAACTTAGCAATAGGAAAATACTATTAAACACATATTAGGATTACCATTCTAAAGGCTCTTGTGAATCCAATACAGACAGACACTGAGTGGAGCCCTTGTAAGGAACTGTCCAATGAAAGAAATGCTATCATGGCAAAAGGTGATACTAAAACAAAACAAAAAGAGAGAAATTTAATTAAGGCAAAATAGCTCCTTCTACCATATTTTATTCTGGCAAATACACATTTTTTATGAGCACATTTAAGCGATGAACTAAAAAGCCAATAAACAAAAAACCATAACATAAAAGAACAAACACTTGTATATGGTATAATACCACACAAATATGGGAATTGAGTAATATTTTTGAATACTTCCAGGATATGATTTGTAACACAAGGTTAATAGACTTTATCTTCCTACCTAAAGTTAGCAAAATCCGTCTGACAATACCAATCTTCATGAGCCTAGTTTGCTTCTCAAAGAATACAGTCACAGTTTGCACATCCTTCGGATAAAAGGGATTTCGGAAAATTCCAATGATATATACGCTTTGAATTTCTCTAAGTATCCACAGTATTATAAGTAATATCATCAAACCATAGCCCACAATAGCCTGGGAATTGCTTTTAGAAATCTGTGAGAAGCCAGCAAAGTGATGAAGCAAGCTAGTTTCTAAAAGAGCCAAGACTAATATAATGATGTAGAAAAGGCATTCCTTCCATGAAAAATGTTTTTCCGGACCACTGGGTAAATCCTTAGATTTGGTTCCAATTTTGTGACCCATATCACTTAAGTTCAGACTCAGCAAGAAACCAAATCCAGTCATGAAAAGAACCACACCAACAGTGCTTGGAATGAAATATGATGCTATAGCTGTTCCAGCAGACATGATGAACATTACTAATAACCTGTACAGAAAAAAAAAAGAAAAAAATATTTACTTGAAAAGAAAAATGTTCTTTAAGAATATTACATATAACATCAATATTTAAAAATAAATACCGTAAGTGGGTTGACATAGATGAGCCTCCAAGGCCGAACTCTAAAACCTGCTCCATTGCCCATAAGAGAAGTGCATCGGGTGGGGGCAGAGTCCCAAGTGCCCACAGAAAGGGTAAAAATACAAACAAGATGTGTAAAATCTGATTCATGTGTTCTAGAGCTGGCATATTTACCACAAACCTATATAAAAAAAAAGAACATTTAAATCACACGAAATATATAGAAGAGGATCTTTTAAGAAAAAGCAAAGCAACACAGAATAACAACACACTCCCTTCCAAAAAAAAACCACACACACACACCACAGAAAAGTCTTAGTCCCAACTTACAAATGATCAATACATACAAATTGTGACAAGTGTCCTTCTACATCAGCAACTACCCCTATACAATTGTGTACAAGCTTAGCATTTAGAGAATATGTTAATTCAAATGTGCAAAGGAGGAGGAAGTAATTAAAAGCCATCACTGAGTAGTAAGAAAATTGAATACAGGAATTTGTAAAACTGAACAACTGAGGCCAGAGCAAAAACATTTCTCCCCTAAATGTCTAAACTACTACATTGGCTGAAATTCTACCAATGATTCTTCAGAGTTTTAAAATTTTATAATTTAAAATTTCAAGTAACTTTGGAAAGTCAAAGCCTTACCCACATTCATACATTAGCAGCTAAGAAAGAGGGAAAGCTCTTCTCTTCCTCTTTGTCTTGTACTGTCCCGCTCCCAGGACCCAGAATTTAACATTAGAACGGTTAATATCAGAAATGCGCAACTCAGGTTATGACTGTATCTCTGCAGCTTAACCTAAGAACTTAACTAGCATTTACAACACTTCCATTTTGTATAAGCAGTGGTATGAATCTGAGAACACAAACTTGCACACTACAATTTCCTCATAAAGTAGTGACTACTTCTACCTTAAGTGGAGAAACTCAAACTTGGCACAGCACTTAACAGTTAAATGTACCATCATCAAACTGCTTCAAATAATTTAATTTTAAAGCACAGAGTACAAACATTATCAATATATTACTAAATTTTTAAAAATAATGCTAGTAAACACTGTGTCCAGAGACCAATAAGGTCAGAGTACTTCTGGGGTACCAAAGATAACATTCAAAAGAGACAACTAAATCCCAAAACTTATAGCATAATTGTACTTGAATACCCAAACTACGGGAAATCCAAGTTGAGGAGAAAGACATTTCTGGGGCCGGGCGCAGTGGCTCACACCTGTAATCCCAGCACTTTGGGAGGCCAAGGCGGGCAGATCACCTGAGGTCAGGAGTTCGAGACCAGCCTGGCCAACATGGTGAAACCCCATCTCTACTAAAAATACAAAAATTAGCTGGGTGTGGTGGTGGGTGCCTGTAATCCCAGCTACTAGGGAGGCTGAGGCAGGAGAATCGCTTGAACCTGGGAGGCGGAGGTTCCAGTGAACCGAGATTGCGTGATTGCACTCCAGCCTGGGCAACAAGAGCGAAACTCTGTTTCAAAATAGTAGTAGTAGTAATAATAATAAGACAATTTCTGAAATAATTATCCACTTAAGAATATGTTGACAGCCCCAAAGCAAATGTATAGCAATTATGGATATAATATAGTAACGCCATTTTATGTTTGCTCACATAGATGTCAGGACTATGCCAACTAATGTGCTCTGCCTCATAATGTATGCCCTTCAAATTTGTTTTGTTTTTGAGACGGAGTCTCGCTCTGTCCCCAGGATGGAGTGCAGTGGCGCAATCTCGGCTCACTGCAACGTCTGCCTCCCGGGTTCAAGCGATTCTCCTGCCTCAGCCCCCCAGTAGCTGGGACTACAGGCACACGCCACCACGCCCAGCTAATTTTTGTATTTTTAGTAGAGACAGGGTTTCACCATGTTGGCCAGGATGGTCTCGATGTCTTGACCTCGTTATCCGCCTGCCTCGGCCTCCCAAAGTGCTGGGATTACAGGCGTGAGCCACCGCGCCTGGACCAAATTTTTATGAGCAGAGAATTAATGAGCAAAACATTAACAATGTGATGTTAAATTAGAGGACAATACTTTGTTAAAATAAAATTCATTTCATTCTGAGTAGAAACCATTCAAGTAACAGAAAATCAAGAAAATCAAACCACACATAAATAGTAAGCCGCAGGAAGGTCAAGGAAAACATGTAGATTGGTACACTTTTTTTTCCCCCAAGACAACACTCCTCTATCAAGGATAGGATAATTTGTGTAAAAATAATGTATGCTCATAAAATCTTTTATCAAAACTAGATTCTACCCCTAAATCTCTTTTGGTCCTTTAACAATAAGCAATGGCAAAGTAAAGTATTCGTATACAAGGATAACATAATTGAAGTAATCAAACATTGTGATTATTCTCCTGTATATAGGACTTAGCTCCAAATGGATCATTATTGTGGTTAATTCTTTAATATGGAAAAACACTTAAATTATAATACTTCTGATAATTTAAATTCTAATACTTATGATAATGTAATAGAAATTTTCTAAGGTAAAAAAAAATCTCAGTTTTTAAGATGAAAACTTAGTTTGGAACCTAACAGCTATAAAAATGTTTCAAATTTTGCACACTCACTAAGATCCACATGCCAAGAAAAAAGATTTTTTCTACAGTGGCTAAGATGATATAAATGTGTATCATTCATTCAAACAATTCCTGAGTGTCTGAGCTAAGCATTGTAGATTTAATGTCTGTCTTTGATAAAAATTAAAATGCACAGAAGAAGTCATTTAAAAGTATTATTATACAACTGTACTAGGTAAAGAATGGGGAAGGAAAATATTACTACACTGCGGGGTTCGCCTCTTCTGCTCCCTTTCATATCTTCTGAAATAAAATTAAGAAACAATTTATCTGACAACTGTCCAAATTTGAAGAGTCCATGCATTTCATACATCATTTGGCAGCAGTATCACACCTATTGTCTAGAGATGATCTCAATTCTATTATTTTCTTAATCAAAAGTGAAACTGGAGGTGATTTTTCTGGATAAACTAGTCATTTTCTTCTTTAAAAATAGATGTGGGGACTGGCTTTGTCTTTTTAGTTACAGATAAACAAAAACAAAAAACTCTTTGTAATTATCAAATCTTAAACATTAAAACTATATATTAAATCCAACAAGATTTTAGTAAAAAACCTTTTATGTACTTTTAGAAATGAATAATGCAGAATGTCGGGAAAACCAAATTAAAAGATTCTTTTTTAAAATTAAAGAACCTAGGATTCACTTTGAATCCAAAGATTACATCAGGCATTCAATTTCTGATCTCAGAAATGGGATACGGAGACAGTAACTCAAGAATTTGTATTCTGAAAATAACCACCTTATAAATTTAAATATTTTAAAGGCAATCATGTGTATACACACATTTAAACTCAATTTTAATGCTAACTTTTCAAAATCAAGTATTTAACTGGAATATATTTTATAGTCAGTAAATGGTAGAGGTATTAAAAAACCAATTATAAATGGATTTCCTGTTGATTAATCCTCCCCTTACGTTTTCGATTAGGTGAAGAATTACATGGGCATTACATTGTCCTCTGGTTCATAAATGTAGTGTAACTAGAAGAGACTAAAAGTTAAGAAATTGCAAACAGACACCCAAGGACAGGTCAGTTTCAGTGCCCAAACTGACTAAATATTTTAAAATGCCTTGTCTTAATCAGCTTGGGCTGCCATAACAAAATATCATAGACTGAGTGGCTTAAACAACAGAAATTTATTTTCTAACAGTTCTGGGGGCTACAAGTACAAGATCAGGCTGCCAGTATAGTCAGGTTCTGGTGAAGACTCTCTTCCTGGCTTACACATGGCTGCCTTTTTGCTGTGTCTTTTTGTAGCAAAAAGAGAGACATCAAGCTCTTTGGCATCTCTCCTAAGGGCACTAATCCTATCAGACTAGGGTCTCACCTTCATAAACTACCTCCCAGAGGCCCATCTCCAAATACCAACACATTGGGGGTTAGGGCTTCAACATAAACATTTTTGAGGGAACACAATTAGTCTATAACATTCCATCCCTGGCCCCTCAAAACTCATGTCCTTTCCAAATTCAAATGCAAAAGACATTCATTCCATCCCCATATCCCCCAAAGTCTTCACTCATTCTAGCATTAACTCTGATGGCTAAAATTCAAAGTCTCATCTAAATCAGATATGGATGAGACCTAGGTACAATCCATCCTGAGGCAAAATTCCTCTCCAGCTGTGAATCTGTGAAACCAGATGAGTTACGTGCTTCCAAAATCTAAGGGTAGGGCAGGTATAGAAGAGACATCCCCACTCCAATAGGAGAAACAGGAAAAAAAGGGTGATGATCCCAAGGAAGTCAAAACCTAGCAAGGCAAATTCCATTAGATCTTAGAGCTTGAGAATAATTCTGTTTGGTTCCATACTCTGCCCACCAGGCCACTGGGGTGGCAGGTCACCGCCAGTGCTCTAGGTGAGGGTCCTGCTTCTGTGGCTCTGAAGTTCAGTTCTGCTCCCGAGGCTTTGGGTAGAGGCTAGCTGACTTGTTGAAACAGGTGGTAGCCCTCAAGACCCTTAAATCACCTTTGGCATAATTTTCCCCTTTTCTTGAAGAATACTGCACTTTTGTAGCTGAACAGTTCTATCATTACATCCTGTCAAATCCAAGAAGTTCAACTGTCGGCCTTCATTACTTCCTGTCTCCAACCACTTCAATTCAAACTGGCAGTGTTTCTACTCACATAATGCCAAAAGCTCTTTACTGAGGGACAGTCCAGCCCCACACTTTTGGTGTTCTCTTCAGAATATGCTTTCTCATGTTTTACAATATGGATAATCCAGGCTGAAAATTTTCCAAATCTTCAAGTTCTGGTTCCTTCTCTTGCTTAACAATCCCTTCTTCAATCCATCTCTCTCCTTTCACATTTTACTAGAAACAGGAGAAGCCAACTGCTCCTTTCAACACTGCTTTGAACTCTCCTTACGTAGGTATCCAACTTCATGGCTCCACAAAACACTAGGACACAGTTCAGCTAAGTTCTTTGACGCTTTGTAACAAGGACTGCCTTTCCTCTGGGTTCAGGGGACTTCAGACTTCATCAGAATCACCCTTAATGTCCATATTTCTAGCATGCACATCAAAACCCTTGGCTGGGTGTGATGGCTCAAGCCTGTAATCCCAGAACTTTGGGAGGCCGAGGCGGGTGGATCACTTGAGGTCAGGACTTTGGGACCAGCCTGGCCAACATGGCGAAACCCTGTCTCTATTAAAAATATAAAAATTAGCCGGGCATGGTGGCGCATGTCTGTAATTCCAGCTACTCAGGAGGCTCAGGGAGGAGTATCACTTGAAGCCAGGAGGCGGACGTTGCAGTGGGCCAAGATTGTGCCACTGCACTCCAGCCTGGGCAAGAGAGTGAAGACTCCATCTCAAACAAAACAAAACAAAGAAACAAACAAAAAAACCTCTTTCAGCCTCTACCCATTACCAACAGTTACAAAGCCATTTCCACATTTTTAGGTATTTGGTACAAAGGCATCCCACTTCTTGGTAGCAAAATCTTAATCAGCATGGGCTGCCATAAAAAAATGCCATAAGCTGAGTGGCTTAAACAACATCAATTTACTTTCTCACACTTCTGAAGGCCGAAAGACCATGATCAGGCTGCCAGTATGGTCAGGTTTTGATGAGAGCTCTCTTCTTTGACTTGCAGGTGGCCACATTTTTGCTGTGTCCTTAGATGGCACAGAGAGGGACAAATCAAGCTCTCTGGTACCTCTTCTCATAAGGGGACTAGTCCCATCATACCAAGGACCCACCTTCATGACCTAATTACCTCCCAAAGGCCTCATCTCAAAATACCATCACATTGGGGTTTAAGACTGTAATATATGAATTCTGGAGAGACACAAATATTCAGTCCATAACATGCTGAACATTTCTACCTGGACACTAACCTAAGAAAAGAAAGCTGCAATCTACGGAGACGGAGAAAGAAAAGTCAAACTTGAAAAGGCAAGTAAAAGGGGTTATCAAACAATTTTGTGAACAATTATGTCTGTTAAAAAAACTATTTTCTACTTTTCTTCTGTAACAAGTTGGTTTTTAAAAAATCAATATTACTTCTACTATTGTTGCTATCATAAAATTAGAAATAAATTTTGTATTTGTCTTAAATTCATTCAATCTGTATATAATATTTATATGTATAAATTTTAATTTCTTCTTTCCCCCCACAGGAAAGTTCCATCTCCTTACACAGGTTTTAGCCAGGCTATCTTAAAAACTCAAAGCTCCTTATTTAAAGTGAAACACAAAATTGAAAAGTTCCTTATCTCAAAAAGGGTTTTTTAAAAAAACTCTTTAATAAGTTTTAACTATTGCTTTAGTATGTTTTACAGAGATTAATCCTAAAAGAATAATTATCAAAATAACCTGTCACCCAATGGTTTGATGATTTTTAATCCATGGATTCATTTTTTTGTAACACTAAAAGGAAAGCTCTCTTACTCTGTATACTTAAAAACAAAGTTAGTTACAAAGTATTTGGTAGGTTTTTACCTGTGTGCCAGATCCACAGAAACAAAGAAAAAAATATAAAGAGGTCTCATAAGAGGAATAATTTCATAAGTATCCTGTGTTTGGAAAGTCGCAGTCTCTGTAGCTGTGTTTACAATTAAAGAATATTCTGCTATACATAGTGTCATCCATCCAAAGAAGAATAGTAGAGCAGTGCCTCCTGTACTGCCATACAGCAAGGTTATTCTATTTGGGAGCAGATACCATGTTCCAAGACCACACGCTAATCCAGCAAGAATAGAATGAAAAACTGTATTGGCTACATATTTCTTGCCAGGAATGAGAAATTTGACAGTCTCAGCACCAGTACAACTGGTAAATTCATGCTCATCCTCCTCTGCTAAGATATCCGTGGTTAGTATTCTTTCTACTGTTGTTGATTTGTTTTTGGCGTATAAACTTGTGAACTGGATGACAAATGCAGTAAAAAGCATTAATCCACCTGAAAGTGCTGCTGTATAATAGTCTTTCAGGATGCCTAACTGGTATAAAAGTGTTCCGACTCCACCCCAAACCCATGGCATTAGAAAAAGAATAATTTGATTAACATATATGTAAGGAGGGGCACAATAGCCTAATTTGAATCGAGGGCCTCCAAGAACAGTCTGTGGAAAGCGCTTCAGAAAGAAGTCCTGCTTGTAATCATTCAGTAGAGGCACATCTGGACTCATCCTCACTCGGGATTATTCTGAAAGTCACATGCTTTTCTGTAACACAGCAGTTTCTAAAAAATAAAAATTAAAAAAAGTCACTGTTTGAAAATGTCATTTAAAACCTATGAGGAAAAACCTCACATTACTATTTCATCTCCTCACTTCCTTCAAGGGTAGGATTTATAACTGTACTTCTCAGACCCCTTTCTGGCACATACTTGACACTAAGTTGCTAGTTTTTATAAACAAAACCAATATGCTCAGTTATTTTATTTTTTGAGAGAGGGTATCACTCTGTCACCCAAGCTGGAGTGTACTGTGATCACAGCTCACTGCAGCCTTGACCTCCCAAGCTCAAAGTGATCCTCCCACCTTAGCCTCCTGAGTAGCTGGGACTATAGGCACATGCCCCTATGCCTGGCTAATTTTTTATTTTTTGTAGAGATGGGGTTTTGCCATATTATCCAGGCTGGTCTTGGGTATCTGGGCTCAAGTGTTCCTCCTGCCTTGCCTCCCAAAGTGCTGGGATTACAGGCATGAGCCACTGTGCTCAGCCTTGTTTTTTATTTTTTTAAAAATCATATTCTTTATTAATTTATAATCTAACCTTTGGAATTAGACTTTAACTCACATATTTAAATTCTGAGGTCAACAGAACGTTCAAAATGCCAATACTTTCAACTCAAATCAATTTAGGCTACTTTTATTCAATAGCCATATAAATCTAAGTATAAAATAATATAGGTTATCTTCAGTTCAACTTTTCCCTATTCCTTGCAACTTATTCTGAAAAACAGTTACCCTACACAAAACCAGCTAGCAAAGTATTACTTTGTGGATCATGTTAGGCTAGAAAGGAAAAATTAAATTTAAAGCCATCTTAAATTAAATAGCCTTTCTTCCAGTCAGTTTAAAAATAATCTTTCCTCTAGTCAGTTCTACCTAACCAATATCAATTCTGGAGAGAAATTTGGGGCAGCATGCAAAGTTTGGGGGTCACCTTTAAGAATTAGTACCTTAGATCACCTCTTTGTTATACCTCTATGGAGTTTTTAAAATTGTAAACATCTATCTTCTTACATCTTCCAGTCATTGGTCTTAGTTCCGCATAGAATGAATCACAGCTTTAACTCACATGACAGCCCTGCAAGTACAGCTGGCCCTCCGTGTCTGTGGGTTCTGCATTCATGGATTCAACCAACCACAGACAGAAAATAGTCAGGAAAATAACTGTATCTGTACTGAACATGTACAGATTTTTTTCCCATTATTATTCCCTAAATAATAAAGTATAGCTATTTATATAGCATTTACATAGTATTAGGTATTTTAAGTAATCTAGAGATGATTTAAAGTACAGGGAGGAAGTGTGTAGGTTATACGCATATATGATACCATTTTATATCAGAGACTTGAACATCCTTGGATTTTGGTATATGAGGGAGGTCCTGGAACCTATTCTTCACAGATACCAAGGGATGACTATACTCACAAAATAACAGAACTACAGGGCCAAATCGAACCTTAGTGGTCTACAGGTCAATCTCAGGGAATGGAAAGAGTGCCTCCTTCCCCTCCGTACGAGCTTGTCTCCTGCACTGACGTCAGGCTCAGTGTACGATATTCCACTGTAATTGTCTTATAGAAGCCAATGGGTAAGGAAGGTCACACTCTTGTGGGAGGGGATAAGCATTCTGACACAAGTTATCTATGGAAGATGCCATCAGACAGGAAAATGAACTTGGAGGGATAGACTGGATTTTGAAGAATGTGGATGTGCCTGAAATTTCCCCAAGGAGTTAGGTAAAAGTTGGCCCTTCTGGCTCTACTGAGATAACTTGGAAACAAGGTAGGGTGGCTTGCTGGGAAGGAAAGTAAAGATATTTTATAAACCAGATTATCTATCTGAATGTTAGTATCCCTATTCATTTCCCTTTTAGTATTTCTGGGTCTTTTGTAAAGTTTTGTTTAAATGTTTTCATTCATTTGATGAAATCATCTATGATTATATTCCAAACAGTGCAGTACCTGAAGTGTTATTATTGTAGAAACATGGAAAGCTGCCCATGATATACTGAAAAATAAACACCCTACTGATTCCATTTGTATCCAAAAAAAAGAGTACACACACCTATATATATAGATGGCTGTATATGGTTTGCGTATGTATAAAAAGTTTCAGAAGGAATATTAACTAAGCTATGTGTATTTTATCTGTAACATTTAACATCTCTTCAAATTACCAAATGTCCTTCAGAACTGTCAACCTCACACCCTGTAAATACATTCTGTGTTTTTCTTGCTGGGTACCACTGAGCTCATGCTCTCTCCTTTGCCTAGGATGATGTCCTCTCCTCCCTTCCCTAATTGGTAACTTTAAATAACTTTTAAGACATTTCTGAAAATTTTGCAGAGCAGTTTGGTCTAGCTGAGTATCTCTTCTCTCTGTATACCAAAACCACTGCTTGTTCTACATACTACAGGTTAGGCATCACAAATCTGAATATCCAAAATTCTCCAAAAGCTGAAACTTTTTAAGTGCCAACATGATGCCCAAAGGAGATGCTTAGTAGGGCATTTCTGATTTTTGGATTTCGAATGCATAATTGGTATAATGCAAACATTCCAAAATCTGGGGAAAAAAAACCCAAATCCAAAACACTTCTGGTCTCAAGGATTTTGAATAAAGGATACTCAACCTACACTCACCTTGTAACACGTATTAGTATACGGCATTTCTCTGAGTAACTTCTACTAATAATATGTTATTTGGCATAGGGGCTGATACGGTTTGGCTGTTTCCCCACCCAAATCTCATCTTGAATTGTAGCTCCCATAATTCCCATGTGTTGTCGGAGGGACCTGGTGGGAGATAATTGAATCATGGGGGTGGTTTCCCCCATACTGTTCTTGTGGTAGTGAATAAGTCTCACGAGACCTGATGGTTTTATAAGGGGAAACCCCTTCCACTCGGTTCTGATTTTCTCTCGTCTGCTGCCATGTAAAACATGCCTTTCACCTTCCACCATGATCATGAGGCCTCCTCAGCCATGAGAAATTGTGAGTACATTAAACCTCTTTTTCTTTATAAATTACCCAGTCTTGGGTATGTCTTTATCAGCAGTGTGAAAACAGATGAATACAGAGGCCACATCTTGAGATTCTTGATTCCCCATATTTAGCAAAATACCTTTCCATGGAGAAGCATGTAATACTTTAAAGACATAGCTTAAGTAAGACAATTAAAATTGGAAAATATGACATATTGCTGTCTTAAACGGAAGCTGGGAGTATTTACCATTTTAGCTCTTTTTTTTTTTTTTTTTTTTTTTTTTTTTGAGATGGAGTCTTGCTCTGTCACCCAGGCTGGAGTGCAGTGGCGTGATCTCAGCTCACCACAACCTCCGCCTCCTGGGTTCAAGCGATTCTCCTGCCTCAGCCTCCTGAGTAGCTGGGATTACAGGTGTGTGCCACCACACCCAACTAATTTTTGTATTTTTAGTGGAGACGGGGTTTCACCATGTTGGTCAGGCTGGTCTTGAACTCCTGACCTCATGATCTGCCCGCCTCGGCCTCTCAAAATGCTGGAATTACAGGCGTGAGCCACTGCGCCAGGCCGTATTTACCATTTTCAAAAACTTGCAGCATATCCTACTCTACTCAAAACAGTAAGCCCATAAACTGTTTATTGAGTTTTAAAATGTTTGGAAAGTATCTATACTTATTTTTTACGGAATAATGCTATCTATTCATAGTATTACTGGCTCAGGGAAGATTCTGCCTAGATCAATATATCACAAAGCAACACAGGAGCAGGATGAGCCTAAGGGAGAAATATGGCTGTGTTTCTCCTGTGGAGGAAATGACTGGAGAATTTTAAGATGTCAGAAGTCCAATTTTAATTTGCTCCCTGTCCCTTACTATGCTTTAATCTCCATCATCAGCAAAGCAGGAACTAGTTCATACTGAGAAAGAAGGGCAGAGGTAGAACAGTAGGCATAAGAAGCAAAATAAAGTGGGAGAAATCAAGAATTGAGTGAAAGCAGACCAAGAAGCACAAAGAGAATGTATGTTCCCTCAAGAAGCCTAAGAAGCATGGGAGAGAACACTGATATGGTGATTTATTTTAATGAACTATTTTTAAAAGGCTGAAAGATACAGGATCATATATCCCACAGAATATACCTTGAAAAGGGGTCTGTGGTCAGGGCAGTTTGAAAAATTATAGACTATACTGTCATCTTGAAGAGTCACAATGGATATCAGCAGACTAAAGCCTTTGAGATCTTTGAAATTAAAAAACACTTCTGCAAGTCTGCTTAAAATGTGTCATTTGAGTTTTCCAAACTTATTTGACCTTGGAACCCATTTTTCCCATGATATCTAGTAACAGATCATGTAACTAATGTTTTATGGAAACTACTTTAAGAAACACTGGCCTGGGTTTCCATCAGGATCTTAAAGATTGAGCCAAACCAAGAACTGAAAGGGTATGCCAGTTAAGGAGGAATGTCATGAACAGAGGTACACAAGGAAAAAACTATCAGAGAAATTTGACAGGTAGCAAGCATATCAGACCTAAAAACTGATTTAAAGTATGGGTGTTTCTATTTTCTTTTTAAGGATTAAAGAGTATTTAGCAACTCATTAAGGAAGTATAAAGACAATTACGATTCACTGGTAACCTTTGACATTTAAATTACAGATCCTGGAACATTTAAAAATATTTAAGAATTTGAAAATACTTTATTTGTAGGAGGCAACAGTTTCATTTATACAAAGAAATCTTCTAAATGCCAAACTGAATTACTAGCATAGAAAACAAATTCACAATAACTAAAATGTACTCCCCAAGTGAGAATTTGGCACATAGTTCTGAAAGACTATTAATTCCCAGAAGAACTGATGCATTGGTATGGATGCCACCTCTACAATATTCAAATAAAAAACGGCTGAAGACTTAGGAAAAAAACAAAACTGTGAAAAGAGAACTTAAGGGATAAAGATGACATCACAACACTAATTTAAGCCATAGGCTTTCTTCACATACTACTCTGAAAGTGGGCCAACAAAATAGCCACAGAAATGCTGCTTTATTTGGGAGTCATATTTGTTACACATTACTCACAAGAGTAAGAAACAGAGATCAATCTGGCAACGTACTGAGAGGAATTCTTAGTTACCAAAACTGTATGTAACTCAGACATATATAACACCATACTAAAAATCTGTTAAACAAAAAAACAACAAAAAGTGGCCACATTTTTGGATTAAATATATATTTCTCTAAGTTCAACAAAAAAATTTTGAGATGTTGTAGTGATTGAAGTTTTTTTAAATCTATCATATTATTTTTATTGATTGGTTGATTTCATTTATTGAATCCCTCTTTTTTCCTGTATTGTTAGGATTTTGATTTTTCATTGTGGTAGGAACACTAACATGAGATCTACTGTTAAACATTTAAGTGTACAATACAGTATTGTCAGCTGCAGGCACAATGTTGTAGAACAGATCTCTAGAACTTGTTCATCCTGCATAATTAAAACTTCATACCTGTTGAATAGCAACTCCCTATTTTCCCTCCCCCCATTCTCTGGCAATCACCATTCTACTCACTGATTTAGAGTTAGTCTATTTTAGATACCTCACATAAGTGGAATGTAGTAGTTGTCCTTCATGTGACTGGCTTACTTCACTTAACATAATGCCTTCAAGGTTCATCTGTTGTTACATATGGCATGGTTTCCTTTTTTTAAGGCTGAATAATAGTCCGTTGTATGTCTATACCACATTTTCTTTAACCATTTATCTGTTGATGGACATTTAAGTTGAATAATGCTGCAATAAACATGGGAGGGCAACTATCACTTTTATCTTGATTTCAATTATTTTGTATAAATACCCAAAAGCAAAATTGCTAGATCATATGGTAGCTCTTTTTTTAATTATTTTTTTTATATTTTGAGAAACCTCCATACTGTTTTGGCATAGATAGTGGCTGCACAATTTTGCATTCCCACCCAGCATACAAGGGTTCCAATTCCTCCATATCCTCACCAACACTCTTTTGTTTTTTTGATAGTAGTCATCATAACAGGTGAGGTGATATTAAGGAGTACTTCTGCACTGAGGCACTTGTCTCAACTATATTTTTGTTGTACTTTCAGGAGACTAATAGATCTGTGGAAATTTATCAAATCTTTGCTCATTTTTTTAACTTCTGAGAGCTCTTCTTTAATCTGAGTGTTCCTTTTTATGAAATTGTTGATGAAAAAAGCCGAACAAGTGTAAAATATTTTAAGAGATTTATTCTGAGCCAAATATGAGTGACCACAGCCCATGACACAGCCCTCAGGAGGTCCTCAGAACATGTGCCCAAGGTGGCTAAGGTACAGCTTAGTTTTATATATTTTAGGGAGGCATAAGACATCAAATACATTTAAGAAACACATTGGTCTGGTTTAGAAAGGTGGGACAACTCAAAGAAGGGGCTTCCAGACTATAGGTAAATTTAAACATTTTCTGGTTGACAATAGGATGAGTTTATCTGAAGACCTGGGATCAACAGAAAAGAAATGTTCAGGTTAAGATAAAGGATTGTGGAGACCAAGTTTCACTGTGCAGAGGAAGCTCTCAGAGAGCAGACTTCAGAGAGCAGGTGGTAAAATATTTCTTATCAGACTTAAAAGGGTACCTGACTGTTAGTTGATTATCTCTTGGATCTGGAAAGGAAGGAAGGAAAACAAAGGGGAAAGGGGACTCATTATAGAATGTGGATTTTTCCCACAAGAGACTTTGCAGGGCAATTTCAAGGTATGGCAAGGAAATATATTTTTGGGTAAAACATTTTTATTTTCTTCCTTGTTATGCCAGAGTCAGATTGGAAAGTCAAGATATACAGGGTTAAATAAAACCCACCTGATGAGAATTTATGATTTGTAGGGCATGACTCTCTAGGCCCCTTAGACAGGAATTTGGGCAAGATTTAACAAATCAGAGCTGAGTCCTCAAAATCCTATTATTGTTTCATGAATATGGTTTAAGAATATTAATTACGGAGGGCACGGTGGCTCATGCCTGTAATCCCAGCACTTTGAGAGGCTGAGGTGGGCAGATCACCTGAGGTCGGGAGTTCAAGACCAGCCTGGCCAACAGGGCAAAACCCCATTTCTACTAAAAATACAAAAGTTAGCCAAGCATGGTGGTGGGTGCCTGTAATCCCAGCTACTTGGGAGGCTGAGGCGGGAGAATCACTTGAACCTGGGAGACAGAGGTTGTAGTGAGCCAAGATGGCGCGATTACACTCCAGCCTAGGTGACAAGAGTGAAACTCCGTCTCAAAAATTAAAAAACAAAATTAATTACAAGTATGTATATATGTTTGGGGGCGTGTGTGTGTGCAGAAAAATGGTATTTTTTTTTTGTAAATTGGCTCATGTCCTTTGCCTATTTTTCTATTGAAGTGATCATTTTTGAACATTTTTCTTACGAATTTGGAAGAACTTTTCATATATGAAGGGCATTAGCTCTTTGACATGACGGTTTTCTTTTCTTCCTGTTACTTTGTCCTTTTCTTTCATTTTCTTTTTTGAGACAGAGTCTCAGTCTGTCACCCAGGCTGGAGTGCAGTAGCATGATCTTGGCTCACTGTAACCTCTGCCTCCTAGGTTCAAGCGATTCTTGTGCCTCAGCCTCCCAAGTAGCCGGGACGAAAGGTATGAGCCACCACCCCTGACTAATTTTTTTTTTCCCCAGTAGAGATAGTGTTTCACTACGTTGGCCAGGCTGGTCTCGAACTCCTAACCTCAAGAGATCTGCCTGCCTCAGCCTCCCAAAGTGCTGGAATTAGGGATTACAGGCATGAGCCACTGCACCTGACCATTACCTTTTTCTTAAAGCACTGTTAGAAGATGCTAGAAAAGATTAAATATTTAAATTTTGATAGTTGTTAAATATAGGCCAAATGTGTTACTCTTCCTTCTATGAAGAAACAGCTAAAAGATAAATTATTACTTCCCACAATTTCAACTTTTAGTTACAAACTTTTGGGTACCTACAATGTGCTCAGTGATAATACTGCTCTCTCTAACCCAAAGGTTACAATCCAGTAAATCTCATTTTCCCTTCAAATAACTGTTTTTGGTAGAAGCAATTCTGGAATTCTTTCAATTTTCATTATTAAGCAAGAAAGATAAAGTTAATTTATAAATAACCTAAACAAAATTAAACTTATCAAGAAAAACTAATTTCTGCTTGTTTAAAAATGATTAGACAAACTTTCAGTAATAAATACAATGTATTCATCCATATTCCTAAAAAGTATTTTACAAAATCTGCAAGGAAATATACCAAAGTTTTACATTTCCAAGCATTACCAAATTTAGTAATTTGGAAAACGGAAAATTTTATACCTGGAAAAGAAAACAAACTGGCCTACACCTAAGTACTCAAAAGCATGATATGAAAGAACTTAATTTTCAGTTGCTCTGGATAAAAATCACTTGCTACTACTAGAGCAATTCTAAAAAGTATGCATACATGAAGTTTTTTTGATAGCCAAGTGCTATCTGTTGAGGGTACCAGTAGGAATCCAGAGATGCAAAGATAGCTACCATTATAATCCGGAAAATACTCTATGGAATCTTAACCGAATGCCATGCCATGGATAGACAGCTAAATTCTGGAGTCTTTTCTTTCTTTTTTTTTTTTTCTTTTTGAGACGGAGTTTCGCTGTTGTTGCCCAGGCTGGAGTACAATGGCATGATCTCGGCTCACTGCAACCTCCGCCTCTCGGGTTCAAGCGATTCTCCTGCCTCAGCCTCCGGAGTAGCTGGGATTACAGGCATGCACCACCACGCTCAGCTAATTTTGTATTTTGAGCAGAGAAGGGGTTTCACCATGTTGACCAGGCTGGTCTTGAACTCCTGAACTCAGGTGATCCACCCGCCTCATCCTCCCAAAGTGCTGGGATTACAGGTGTGAGCCACCGTGCCCAGCAAAAGACTTTTGATGTTTAAACAGAAACATATATTTCATGCTTTGGTTTACAAGTTATATGGTAAGCACCCCGCTCCCCAACCAAAGGAAAGTCTACCCAAGTACTAGAAAAGAAAGACTGAAAAGGAACAAGCACGTTAACATCTCTTTGGATCTATAAAAAGGTATTCACTCAAATTCAAGACTTTTGGAGGGTTTTTGAATAAGAGTGTTTTGTAAGGTCACAGTGTAAGTTAAAGAGGAAAGAAATACAAAGTGGCTCAACAGTCAAAGACAGGTTTGTTTTGGAGAATAAACCTGAGAGAGGCTTCTGGCTGATTTCAGTCAGGAAAGCTCTCTCTTACAGACTTACAGTATTTATTGGTGACAGAACTTATTACAGGTTTGGAATGTTTCTGCATGGGGGAGAAGCTTATGGTAGGGTTGGAATGTCTCTGGTCAGAAGGGAGGTTATCTTGGGGCTGACATCTCTCCAGCCAGGGGGAAGGTTATCTCGGGGCTGGCATGTCTCTGGTCCGGGAGGGGTTTCGAATGTTTCTGGTCAGAGATGTTGTGTGATTTATGTTCATGCTGACCTTAACCATAAGGCTGATGCCCTTTGGATTTTGGTGGGTTTTGATCAAGGTGAAACTTAAAATGATGGTCCTCGTCGAAGTCGAAGAGGGTGATGCTCCTGCTCTGTCAATCCAGACCCTGTAGTTATAAAAATGACGAGGGGCAGTGTGTTCTTTCTGGCTACTTCCTGCTGACAAGGGGACAGACAGTTTTTGGGTCTTGGATTGACTGCAGAAATAACACTGTAGATGTTTTTGGGTAGTTGTGTGTGAAATGGTCATGAGTCTGTCAGCTAAAAATCTTTGAAAAAGGTTAATTAGGCAGGGTAAGAACATTAGTCCTAGGCATATTATTAGGAGAGGGCCCAGGAATGGGGTGACCCATGCTATGATTCTGCTCCCAAACCAAGAATCTGTCTGGTTGTTTTGGTATTCCCTTAGCTTTTTAGACCTTTAAGTTTTTCAGCAGTCTCTTACTAGGCCTGATTGGTTGAGATAGAAACAACATTCCCTACCTAATGAGAGGCAGAGGCACATGTTTGGAAAGGCCCACATATTATCTTTTGTTAGTAACAGTTATTCCTGCTATGAGGATAATAATTAAGCAAAATGCTACAGCAATTGAGATTCCCTGTCAGATATTCCACCCTGAAGGTGCTATAGTATATAGTCCTACTGCAAATAGTAGAGTAAAGCAATTCCCACAAGGCGTAGTAAATAATTTCCATTATATTTAGGACGTTCCTTTGGGCTCTCAGGGGTTGCTTCCTCAGCTTTCCAGGCTTTGACTCAAGTGTGATGTATCCAGGAGTTGATTCCTGTAACAGATATTGTCTCAATTACCCTGGTTCCGTAGACTCACTAGACATGGGGTGAAGGATTCCGGGCACCCTCAGTTATTAGTTGTCAATGCCAGCAGTGAAGAGATTTCCTTCTGTGATGGTTGGGGGGTTTAGAGGCAGCGCCTGATAAAACATCTAGTTTTCAGTTCATAGGACTTTAAGGAAGCACAACTTATTTTAGAAACTTGTAGCCAGAAAAATCAGAATTTAAACTGTAGAAAATACTAAAAATTGGAAAACATGAGGCAAGACTAGAATTTAACAACAGGTGTGCTACAGTTTTTGAAACATAATTTTCTCTCTCCAGTTTCCCACTTATTAAAAGACAAGTCATGGTAGGACTGGTTTGCTTTACTATACTTGGCTTAATTATTTGGATACAGTACAGCAAGAATAATTATTTGTTACACAGGCCTTTTAAATTGGTATTGATTTATCTGGCTCACCCCTTCATTTGGCCAACTCAGCCAAAATGCTTTGTGTTGGGAGCAAAGAAATCACACCAAGGACCTATGTCCAAACAGTACGAGAGATATGGGGTGGATACCTGGAGAACGCTGTGACCACACTATCATATTACAAGACACTGAATGGCTTGCCACCCATTGGGTGCCAATGATCAGTTATTTATTGGCTAGCTCCAAATGGGACATATTGGCTATGTGGCACTAACTTATGGCCGTGGTTACCTCCAGAGTGGTTAGGACAATGTTCCCTATGTTATGCCTGGGCACAAGGACGAGTAATTCAGACCTGCCAAAACCAGCAAACCTTTTTCATTTACAATCTTGTTGGACACATTTGGTATTCTAATGGTATGACCACTTAGCTTCAATCTTTGTACCACAGATAGGTACTGAAGATGTTATATGGCATATAGAGGCTTTAGTGAATTACTCCCAAAAGGTCCTGAATGATAGCTGCATGAGTATTTCCTTGCTAAACAAGGAAGTCATGCTTATGAGGAAAGCTGTGCTGCAAAACCGTATGGCTTTACATAGACTCACGGCAGCACAAGGGAGGACCTGCACCATCATAAAAATGGAATGTTGTGTTTATATTCCAGATGAATTGAAGAACATAATCTGACTTATGACTGATATGAAAACCCAGATATCTGTCACACCCAAAACCTTCGTTAATCAATCAGTTGAGTGGTGGGTTTGGATCCTGGGAAACTTGGTGACAGAAGCTTATTGCTTATATTAGGAATAATAGTTTGTGTTGTGTCCTGTTTCTGCTTACAGTGTTGTTATGGTTATGTGCCTGCAAATATGTCAATGAACTGAAAGGGCTAGGGTAATGATTCCCTAGAGAATTGCTCTAATTGAGAAGGCAGTAATATAGCCTGACCCAGCTTCCAGGTGTGATTTCCTTTTGTTGCTATAAATCTGGCCTAGGTCCCTATATATTTTTTCTTTTTTTTTCCTTTCCTTTTTTACTTCTTTCCTCTTCCTATTTTTTTTTTTTAACCTTCATGGGACATGACCTCTTAGAAATGAGCCTTCCTAGAGACTGGGGACCTGAACTTCTAGGAATAAACCATCCTAGCAATAAGAAAGCAGCTCAAAAAAGGGAGGAAAAACCAACCTGAGGCCAGGAACTCGTCTTCCTTTTAAAATGCTTTCTCCAAAAGATTTTACAGAAAAAAGAAGGGAAATGTGAAAGGAAATTAAATTTTGGGACCCCAAACTCATTTAGCCAAAGGGAAGAAGTCAAGCTGGGAACTGGGTCATGCAAACCTGTCTCCCCCCTTTTGGTTTCTAAATAGGATGGCTACAAGATGAAAAGCTACACACCTCCCCTATATTTTGCCCACAGGGAAATTCCCAGTGAGCTAAAATTTCATCCTGGCAATGTCAATTGACAGCTTACAGGTGCAGTTACCCCTGGCCCACCAGACATAAATGCAAATCTGATTGTTCCCCTACCCCATTTTGTCTGTTATCTTATGTAAAATGCAGATTCCCCTAATATTTTCCTCTGCCCCTTTTATGTCATCTTATGTAAAAAATGCAGATTCACTGAGCCAAAGGCATAAATAACTATTTGCCCCTACCCACCTCTTACATGACAATTGTGTACTTCTCAACATCCTGCCCTTTCCCCTTTAAATTTGGAGACCTCAAAATCATCTTCGAAGAAAGACATAGACTTGCCTCCCGGGCACGTCCTTAACTTTGGCAAATAAATCTCCTAAAATGATTGAGACTTGTCCCATCATTTTTCTCGACTGACACCCACTATAAATTCCCTGGGTTGAAAAACTTTTCTTTTAAAATCAAGTATCAGGTGAATGAAGTCTGCTACTCACATGAATTACTAGAAATAAATTAATTTATTTTACAAAAAAACCTGAGAACCAGTGATATTAAGTGACTTAACCAAGATACAATGTCAGTTAGTGGCAAAATGAGTTTTTGAATCATACCATGCTATTGCTGTTAGGTTTTTTTTAAAGGGAAGGTGGGAGTTAAAGAAAGATGGGGGTGGGGGGGGGCTCTACAGCAACACAAGTATATTGCAAAAACCTGCAGAGGTGGGGGGTGCAGCTTAATGCCAGAGCCCACTGCCGTTCACAGGCTGGGGACTTATAGGTATGGGCAGGAGGGGTCTGGGCTGTCTGGTTTGCTGCCCGGCAGGATATTAAGATGTTCCTATGATCAGGTGGTTTGGCCCTTTGTTCCAGTTGCAGGGTATGATAGGGACGTTCCTTCAGTTGGGCCTTTGCTTAGCAGGGTATGATAAGGATGTTCTTGTGTGTTGTGGTCAGGTGGTTAGGCAGGATGTTTCTCACAGCCCAAACTCGCCTGGAATGTGTCACTTTGACCAAGGTCTGCAAAATGCTGGGGGACTTACAAAATGGTGCAGTTTGGACTAACAACTGCCAAATGAAAGCGAATTTTGTTTTGATGCTAGAGAACTGGAAGGATAACTTGGGGGAATAGGGTTCTTTGGAGAAAAGTGGGTCCAAGAGGAATCTACAAAGTGTAAAAATGGGACGCTTTTGATGGCTAAGCCAGCATGAGGGGGTTGGTATCCAGTACCCTTTCACAAGACAAGTGAGAAACTGTTTAAAAAACAAGGTTCTCACCATCATGAAAGTGAGAACAACCTATAGAATGGAAGAAAATTTGTGCAAATCATATATATATATGACTTATAGCTAGACTATATAAAGAACTCTTACAATTCAATAATGAGAAATCAAATAATCCAATCTTTAAAAAATGAGCAAAGGATATGAACAGACATTTCTCCAAAGATGATATACAAATGGTTAATAAGCACAGAAAATATAAAATGATACTCAACATCATTACTCATTAGAAAAACACAAACTGAAACCATAATGAGGTACCATTTCAAACCTCCTTGACTGGCTAAAATAAAAATGGCAGACAATAATAAGTATTCATGAGACTGTGGAGAAATCAGAACCCTCAAACATATCTGGTGGTTATGTAAAATGATACAGCTCCTTTGGGAAACAGTCTAGCAGTTCCTCAAAAGGCTAAACATAGAGTTACCATATAACCCAGTAATTCTACTCTCAGGTATACACCCAACAGAGATAAAAACATATATGTCTACACAAAAATCTGTACACAAAAGATTCATAGAAGAAATATTACTAACAGCCAAAAAATGAAAACAACCCAAATGTCCATCAATGAATGGATAAATGTGATATATCCACACAATGAAATTAGACTATAAAAAGGAATGAAGTACTCATACATTCTACAACATGGCTGAACCTTGAAAACACACTAAGTGAAAGCCCGTTACAAAAGGCCACATATTGTATTTTCCCGTCTATGTGAAATGTCCAAAATAAGCAAATTTATGGGGACAGAAAACAGATTAGTAATTGCTTATGGCTGGTGGGGTAAGGATAATGGGGGGAGGGAGGTGGTGACTGCTGAGGGTAAAAGGTTTCTTTTTGGGGTGATGAAAATGTTCCAAACTTGACTGTGGTAAGGGTTGCACAATTCTATAAATGGGTGAATTGTATTGAATGTAAATTACATCTCAATAAAGCTCTTAAAAAAGAAAAAGCTTCCCTGATTGGTATTTTCCACAGCAGTTAATAATTAGAAGGCAGCTCTTTAAGTAGGAAATTTAGGAGCAGCCAACAGATGCTACAAACAGTTAAATTCGTGAAAAGGCAACATCTGAACTGGATGCTATGCTAAAGGTCTGGGGATTTGGCGTGAGTGGCGGTGGATACCAAATAACATGAAGGGCAGTCTTTGCCCTAACTGCAGGAATGATTTAATGAAGAAAACAAACACCTAAAAATAGTAAAAAATGAGTAAGTGAAAAATGATGGATACAGAGCAGATAACCAATTCAGCGGCATGGAAAACAACTTCCGATTCACTGGAGTAAATTCTGGTCCTGGAGAGACAAGAGGTTGTGGGGACAGAGGTCGAGATCAGTGGGGAAGGAGCGCTTCACGTTCAGGGGGCCATGAGTTGAACAATTCGGACAAAAGAGGTTTAGTTGGAGATATTGCGAGAGTACAGTTCTACCTAACGGACACAGCTCCGGGTGGGTGTGCCATATTCCATTTCGTACGAGTCTCTTAGAAACAAAATGCTACAATTCAACAGGCTAAAGTAGTCTTTCAAAGGAAAGTTAAAATCACACTGAATTACTATCTCTAATGACTGAGTTCATTAAGCGCAATAATTGCACTTAAAGGTTTTGCAACGAAAAACGAAAAATATGTTTCTTGTGGCAATGAAAGCCCCTAGAACAACTTGGCTCTCCGCACAGGCTTGGACATTAAGATGCCGAAGAAGTCCCGAGGTGGACGTCGGACAACGAACGTACCTCAAGTCACCCGAGGGAAGAGAAGACGCGAAGGCATCCCAGGGACCGCATTTTTGCAGGTAAACTCGGGCTGGGCGCTCCCGCCGGGAGGTTGGTTAGTGCCCGAATGCGGAGGCAGAAAAGCTGCGGCGGCCGAATAACGAGCTCACCGCGGCCCCGCCCGGGCCAGCTCTCGGTTTCCATGGCTAACGTCTACTCCGGCGGCCGCCACCCGGAGCTGAACGGAGCGCGTGCGCGTTCGGGGACCTCGTCGGCGCCTGGCTGGCCTCGCTGCCCCGGTCTGTGCTCGCTCCCGAGGCGGGCCCTGCCGTAAAGCAGGCTTGGCCTAGAGGAAGCAGGGAAATAGCGCGCTTCGTTCGCGCCAGGACTAGGCCAACATCTGCCTGGCCGGGGACGACGGGAGTCGCTCGTGCTCTGGTCTCGCACTGGGCCTAGCAGAAGCAGCAGCGGGGAAAGCCGAGACGCCCTGAACGTTCCCTTGGGCCGGGCCTTTACGCAAGAGCGTCGTTGCCCTGGTGACGTGACGTCCTTCCTCAGGATTGTGCGCCGGGGTGGGGAAACAGACGTGCAACCGCCATTTTGCGCATTAATTTACCAGAGGTCGGGTCAGGCTGTCTTAACGCAGGCAGAGGGGTGTGGCAGATCTCCAACCGCTCGGGGTCCCGTGATTTCCATTAATGAATTCGCACACTGGCGTTACCACTCAACACACCGACGGTAATGAATGTTTTTGAGTGATACTTCATGCAGCCTATTCGGCTTGGACGATTGGGGACTGCATAACGTGATCGCTATCGCCTCAGTTTGTGGCTGCGTTTTAAAATACAAGGAACCAACATGTCCATTATAGAAACGTGTTATTAAGATATTAATAAAACAAGGCAGAGTTCCGGCGTTCCAATTAAAAGGCCATGGCTGATTCATATTAGTGTGGCGGGAATCTTTACAGCCTGGCCGCAAAGACCCCAATTAACGCTAGTTAAAAAGTTATCCCTATACCCAGGGCTCACCTCCCCCATTCTCCACGAAATATGATCCCCCCCCCGCCCCACCAAGTTCTGGACACGTTCCAGATTGCCAACTGGGAGTCCTCAAGACGGCCCCGGAGAGCGTTAACAATGATTGGTCTCAGCTGATTTAGAGGCTCGGGTAAGGGAACTTTGAAGCTAACTTGTCGGTATCAAGGTACCCGCAATTCCCCCATGTGATTGGGTAGATGCCCTAGCAGTTCTGCACACTTCAGCGTCCAAGATGACTTGTGGACTGTTTTGTTTGGATCTCCATTCCTCAAAACTATAAATGCGGCCTTAATTTTTTTTTTTTTTTAATTCTTGGCTCTTGGCTGTCTTGGAAATGCTGACTTTGTATTTAAGTATTTAGGTTTTCAGGTCGTAATAGAAAAATAATTACTGTGTTCATATTAAAAGCCAAAGCTTTATTTATTTATTTTTAAGATATTGTGTCCAGAGCAAAAGTGTAGTGTGTTGAAAGCATGTGGAAGAAAACCCCGGATATACATATACTTGTCTTCAAGGACTTAATTTGCAGGTAGACCCTTTCATAGTTTGGTATCTTCACGATTTGATAGAATATGGGAAAACGTGCTGTTGGTCCATCCATAGTTTTTCTCATTGAAGCTCACTCATTGCGGGTCAGAGTACCACATTAAGCATCTCGGAAGCATCACTTACCGCCAAGAAGTCTGAGTTTCATGTAATTAAGAGTGGAGGCTCCAGAGTCAGGAAGTCTGGGTTGAAACCCTGGCACTACTGCTTACTACTTGTGAGATCTTGAGGTTATGTAATTTCTCTAGTGCTCAGTTTCCCCATATCTTGTAAAATAAGGCAAATAATAGAACTTAACCCGCAGAGAGTTATGTCATTGGATTAAATCAAATAATTGTAAATTGCTTAGCAGAGTAAATGGCACAGCTTAAGTGCTTAGTAAGGATGAGCTATTATCTTTATGTAGAGAGTCTGTATTTATGCTTGTTCTTCTCATGGGCATTACATATGACCCAAGCAGAATTAACATGTTTATTGTTGAAATATCTGCTGTTTTTCAAATATATTTGAACATCGTGCTTTCTTAGAATAAAATTAGTAGGGCATATGGTACAAGCCCTTTGGTTAGCTGTGTATAAAATATTCATTCAACATTTATTGAAATAGTGAAGGGAATAGTGGTTCCTATTTGTCAGGAACTACACTAATTGCTGCAGATATAAAGTCAAATAAAACATGATCCTTAAGGAATTTACCAAAATATAACTTGGACATCAAGGACATAACTTGAACAACAAGGACATCAGTAATTACAGTGTATGTGATAAACAGGTATGCGCTGAGCTTCAGAAACAAAGTGGGACACATAATTCTGGGGAAATTAAGGATGGTTGCAATCCATTTTTAAAGGGTGAGTGGACAGCTGGGCCAGGCGTGGTGGCTCTTGCCTGCAATCCTAGCACTTTGGGAGGCTGAGGTAGGAGGATCGCTTGAGCCTAGGAGTTTGAGGCAACATGGTGAAACCCTGTCTCTACAAAAGATACAAAAAATTAGCCAGGTGTGGTTGTGTGCGCCTGTGGTCCCAGCTACTCAGAGGCTGAGGTAAGAGGTTGTTGCAGTGAGCCGAAATTGCACCACTGCACTCCAGCCTGGACAACAGAGTGAGATCTTGTCTCAAAAAAAAAAAAACAAAACAAAAACAAAAACAGAGTTAGCTGGGAGAAGAGGTATTCCAGGTAGGGGAACATTTATTCTTTAATTCATTCAACACATACTTAGAGCATACATAGAATCAGTACTTTGTGTACCTCATTTAATCTTAACCTTATGAGGTAGCTTATTATTATTTCAAATGTAAGGAATCTGAGCTTGAGAAAAGTAAAATAAGTGATGACATCTGGAGTTGAGTCCGTATCTGTATGTCTTCAAGATTCGTGTATTTTTTCCTACCCTGCTGATTCACATAAAATGAAACAAATTGTGAAAAATCTGGAACTGCTGCTTCAGCCAGAGAAGATGTTTAGCCAGGCATTATCATGACATACGTGTTATTGTGTAATGGTAATGCCCGTTTTCAGTTCATACCCAAGTTAACTTCTCTTGCTAAAAAGTAAAACAAAAGCAAAACCCACACCATAAACCCTCACTCTGCCTTGTTCCCAGAGACCACTGGCCAGAAGTCTCTGAAAATAATGCAGAGCTGCAGCACTAGGTATGGGCCAAAGAGAAGGCAAAATCATGCTCACAGTTCCGGGTGCCTTTAAAGAAACACAGGAGGAATAATAGCTTTGGGAAGAAAGATAATGAATCTACTTTGAGACCTGTGTGTAAGGGGCTGATGCGATATTCAGGTGCCTATGCCCAGTTGGAAATACAGAATTGGACCTATATTACATATTGACCTTGGGAGAGAAGTTAAGATGTAGAATATTCAATAATTTTTTTTAAAAGATTGTTGAAGTAATAAGATTGGAAAAGAATGTCAAGGTTTATATCTTAATGGGACAAGAAGAAAACCGAAGAAGAAAAGGACTATAAAATAAAAAGATTGACTTATATGGCTTATTGAAAGTCACTGTATCATAGATCATGATATGCATCAAACATCATGTGAAAGGACATGTGATGAGTAGAAATTTTAGAGTGTCTGAGCATGTTCGTGAGATTTGGGTTGGGCAAGTTATGAGTTATGAGAATATTAAAGACAGGACGTGCCCAATAGTTAATTACAGTGTTTCATATTGAAACTTTCTTTAATATAGAAACTTTCATATCCCATAAACAATCATAAATAGAACCATCAAATAAACAATATATAATGTAATCATAGCTTTGCGATTGGTTGGTCTCAAGCTTTACTCTAAGATACAATATATTTCTTTTAAATTGCAGTTCTGAAAAATTTACAGTAATTACTGATGGGGAGTGTATGATAAAAGAATAGTTTCAAATTTTGGTTATGATAAAGAATTTTTAGTTTTCTTGTATAGCTCTTAAATTTCACTATTATTCCACAGCAATAACTTCACAGATGAGACTTTATTTTAGAGGTGTTCCAGTTGATATTATTTTGGAACATTGTAACTACTGGAAACTTATTTTGGATAATTGTTTAAAAAAACACAGGTGTTTAAGAAAGAACACAGTAGAATTATTAGTAGACTGGAAATCAGTAAATTGGAATATTTAAAAAGCTAGACTTTAATTTTTTAAATTATGTTACATTTTGTAAAAATTTTAACTTCACTGAAAGATCAAATTTTAATGGTAACAAAACTGTAAACATCTGTCATGCCAGACCCCATTCACTTCAGTATGGATGGCACCAGGTTCAAGAGGCCAAATAGAGACCCAGAGCCAGCAAATGAGATATATAGGGTTTATTGAAGGGAACTTACATACAGAGCACTACAGTGGCAGTGGGCTGGACAGAAGTGCAACCAAGTGCAGAAAGCATGCAGTTTAGATAGCGTTTGCACTTAACACCCTCCCCCTAGCAATCTCCATCTGGCAACCTTCCTTTAACCCAAAACAAAGGGCCTCAATCTCCTGTATGGCCCAGGTCCCATAGGATGGGATGGGGCTCAGATGTTCTCATAGATAAGGATGAATCTCTGGGCTGGCCATGCTGGGAAGACCAAACCTACACTGAGGTGTGTCTGCCATATGGGGTCATTCTCAGGACATGCTTACGTTTTGTTGTCTGGTGTGTCTGCCAAACACCAACCACAGGCGTACTTAACAATTTGATTCTACAAAAATTAAATTACACACATCTGAATTAAGTACAATGATTCTCCTTTATTTTTGCAAACATTATTGATAGTTGATGATGCAGATTTCATAGTCTTTTTCCCAGCATTTTACACTAGATTGGAGCATCAGTTAACCTGCTGACAGTGACCAAGGATATGATGCCTTATTAATTTCTAAAGCTATAACTGAAGTTAGCAACCTCAAGTAGATGCCCCTTTCCTGGCATTTGCCTGCCAAGTTCTCTGTTTATAAATGTACTAACCATTTAGAATTTTGTGAATATTATCTTCACTTTCCTTTAGAATGAATATATAAATGGAAGTGCCATGTGCAAGTTAACTGAGAGAATTTCTACTGGGTAGGATAGTTGTGATTACATAAGAGTAGGGGGGAAAAGTTAGGTGTAATTTGCCTAATGTTGGAGGAAACCCTGTTGACCCCCCTGCAATCCTTCCAGCCTTATTGTACTGTTGAGTGGAAAAGTCCACATTTGTTACAATTACTTCCTGCAGTTTACACTGTGATGCTCTCTTTAGGTTAATATATTTTAAAACACAAAAACTAGAGGTTACTCATATTAAATAATTATTAATGGGAAATGAAACCACATTTAGCAAATAACAGTTTATGCATAAAATAACAAAAACCAATTTTGGTGGGATGGTAGATTAGAGGAACATTTTTGAAACTTAGCTTGGCTGTGTTTAACAAAATTTAAAATGGAGTTCCCCTTGACGCAGGATTTCATTTAAGTTTATTGAACCTATTCCTTATTGAAGACTGTTTTGTGTTTTTGCTACTACAGGTGTTTGTACTAGAAAATTTGTAATATCAAAGAAGCACAAAACAGTCTTCAATAGGGGACTGGTTAAATAGATTATATAAAAAGGAGATATATCAGCATGTACACCTATGCAAAGATGTCCAACTTATGTTAATTAAAACAATTAAAAATTATGATTTGCATGGTATGATTTTATGTTAAACTGAATGTAAGCATGAGCATGTTTTATATATGCATATTTCTGAAAGACACATAAGAAACAGCAGATCTTAACCTCAAGAGATTAACTGGGATTTGACCGGAAGGGGAACTTTCACTTTTTACCTTATACTCTTTTGTGCTGTTAATACATTTTTAAAATAATATATATTATTTTATAATCTTTAAATAATAAAAAAATAAAAACAAAAACATTAAATTGGCTGCAATACTCCTACCCTCCAAAAAATTCACCAAGCCATTAAGTGATTTAGCCACTGTATAGCCAGTATAGAGGTGTAGTGGATTTTTGTTTTTATAGTAGTACCTTTATCCAGAATATATTTGGAAAAATTGTTTTTCTGAATAAAGAAATTAAAGTATTGATGCTTTCATAGGAAGAGAAGGGCCATATTATTTTTTAGAGTTGTATTACAGTTGAAAATTACTGTGATTTGTTTGGTATATTGGTAAATTTTGAGCTTTGATAATCAGACAGTAGGATACTAGACCACTGCAGTATTAGATTAATAGGTCATCTTTTGAAATCTTTAAAATTAGTTCATTTTATATAGTAAATGAGAACATTTACTGAATTTATGTATACATTCTGAAGCTTATTTGATTTTTTCAAATGCATGTAAAATATAAATTTTAGCATATGTGTAAAAATATATTAGTGTATATATACAGATATTTATGTATACAAAAATTTGTACATATGTAAAGTATATGTTATATATAACATGCAAAATAAAATACGCTGTGTTTTGTCGAATCAGCAATGACTAAGTATTACTGTAGGAAATTTTTAGGTGTTGTTTGTTTTTAACAGTATAGTTTTAAAGTGTAATGATTTTAATAACATTTATGCTGGTACTTTAAAATATTTTCATTTTACCAGAGCTGTGTTTTAGACTCTTAGTTTAAATTAAAACCAATATATAGAAATAAATATTAGAATAATTATTAATCCCACGGAATTTTTAAAATTCTGTTATTTATGAATCCCAAGCCAAATATCTGATTCATGTTTTTATTACACAGCAGTTTTACTCCTACAAGACTTTGTAATTGGTAGAAAATTCATACACCTTTAAAGAGCAGTATGCACAAAAGAGATGCATATACTTGTAGAGATAACCATGTAGTAAGAAACAATGGATTGTTTTTATTTGTGGCTTTTATATAAAACTAGCCTATGCATTATTTTCCCTGTGAATTTTTTCCCTGATAATTTTTCTCCTGGCATCAAAATAATGAAAATAATAAAATTTTAGAGGCAAGCTTTAAGAGCATGTATGCCCTGCCTAATACAGCTAACAAAACCAAAAAACTTACTCATACTATGTACTGCAAAAATTCAGTGACAGTTTTTTTATTCTGAGTGGTCAAATTCATGTAGAAACATACACCCTGAATTGCACAATTCAGTATCCCTGGGCAACTTGTTTCTGTATCATTCATATTCCCAAATGTACTCTGGGCTATAACAGTAGGCTGTGAAAACCTAAAACTTATATTTACTCTTATGAGAAGACTTCCTTTATTTATGTTTGCCTTCTTTCCCCAATGTACAGATTCTTTAAAAATATAGTACATCTTAAAAGTACTAACCTGAATATAGTGTGGATTCTTCTAGAATTTTTATTCCATTTCTCCTGATGCACAGAACGAATAGCATTTGCTTTATGAGTCAGTAAACAATCTTTAAGAACCAGGAGGGCCTGAAGCCCATTTCCCCTCCTTTTGATTATATCCCAAATACTGCATCCACTGATGCCTCCTTCCAAAGACAATGGAATGATTCCTTCCTTTCAGAAGCAAAAGCAGCCCTACCTGAGAACACTCTGAAATATGTTGTCCTCTTTGCAAGATCTCCATTTACTAGACCAGTTATTTTCCTCATTCCTCGTCAAAGCATGAACTCAACAACTGATTAAGAAAACAGTGTTCTTAGTGTGAAAGAAAAAGATAATGATGTTCATAAGGTGATGGAAAGCATATTTAACAAGAAATAATGAGATCTGAATTACCATTTGAGCTCTGCAAGAAACTTGATAATTTTATGTTGGGCAAGTCAATCTCTAGGTTTCCGTTTTCTCCTCAGTAATATTAAGGATCGGGCTGTCTCTAAATTTTCATGTAAGTGTATATTTCTACTTCTATATTATTTTTCTGTTAGTTTTATCATGCTATTTGTGGAAATAAAGATAGTCTATACAATTTTATTTTTTATGCAAATACATTTTTTAAAGTGCATAAATTTTTTAAATAACAAACTTAAGAGTGAGCTTTATGCTAAGCAGACCTAAGCAAACATGGTTATCATTAGAAAACGAACTCTCTTTACTTCAGTATTGACCACTTTTCTTGGGACAGTGATTTCTGTGAATATTAGCATCCAGTAATGTGTCACGTTAATCAGTATTCATTAAGTACCAACAGTTTGCCTTCTGAGGGCTCTTTCTTTAAGGTCAGTTAAGTAAAAATGTTAAAGCCAGTTATTATGAGGATTTCTGCCATGTAATAGTCAAATTATTTTATACTTAGCCTCTTTTTGATTAAAAGTAGTAGTCAACGTTGTTGAAGCCCTCAAAGGTGATTTTGAACATGAAGTGCTGGAGCTACCCAGGCAGCAATCAGAAACAATTAGGAAAAATGTACCAAATGCTTCGTTCTTTTCTCTAGGCTGCATGGCAAATTACATTTAATATTTCAGGCTTGTTGCATTTTAAAATAAGGCCTCCTGACTAAGCAATTTTCAAGACAACTCCCATCAAAAGATATTGCTTAAAATTTTCTTATTGCTATAGAAATGAAAAGAGTGATTGTCTATGTTGATTAGCCTTGAAGATTGCTTTGGGGAAAATTTGATAATTCTAGTACCATTACCATTATAATTTACAATCTGTAAAGAATTGAATACTACATTGACTACCAGGATAGTTTAAGCCTTCCTTTCTATCTGCTAATTTTATTCTTCTACCTTAACATAAAGAAATCCTTGTAATATGTATTTAATGCATATATGATTTATTTTTATCATGATTCTTGAAAATTATTCTCAATTAGATCAAACAAAAATCAACTGTAGAGCATAATAAATATGCCTGAAATATTTATTGATGCCTACTATGTGCCAAATTTTGTGCTAACCAATTTGGCAGATAGAGATGAAAAAGAAAGATTTAACTTCAAAGAGCTTTCATCTTAATGGGTAGAAAATTCACAATAAAAAGAAATGAACAAAATAAGAAAAATTTAGAACCAATTGCGTTTCAGTTATGATGAGTTGAGTGTGGCTGATACAATTTCATTTTCTTATACCAAATGCTAAATAGAGGTTATAGTTACCTGATATGGCAAAACCTGGCAAGTTAGGAAAGTGCTCCCATAATAATATTTTTGTGTTTAGAAAGAAAAATTATAATAGAATGAAATTACATTACACTTGGCAATGTATAGAAAAATGTTTAAATACCAAGAAAGACCTTTATGCTGGCAAGGAGATTCATTTTTTATGGACCTTCTGATTCAATGGCCAAGTTTTTAATTATTTTAAACAGTTTTAAAATAGCCTAAAATGTACCAGCTGTCTTAAACTAGCAAACAAAATAAGATTCAGTGATATTGAGGTTTCAGTAAAATGGCATTCTCATTTATTCACTCATGAACTCAATTAGTGAACATTTATAGATGATAGACAATTTGTTAGAGGACTAGTGATGAACGAGTACCAGTACCTCTCGTTATGGGCCCCACTGGTGAGAGTGCTGAGGTAATACAAATATATATGATCACTTTGAAAATAAATTTAATCATATTGGCAACTCTAAAAATGTGCATACTTTTAACTGATTAATACTTTTCTGTGCAAAGGATTCAAAAGAAGTAAAGATTTATGTACATATGTATTTATTGCATATTTCTAATACTGGAAAATTGGAAGCAACTTGAATGTTCAATGATTAAGAAAATTATAGTATTTCCCCTTGGTTGACTATAACATAAACATTAGGATGATAATTATAATAGCTTTGTAATGCCATGGAAAATGCTTAGATATATAATATGAAGAAAATCAAAAATATATAAACTTAAAATTCTGTGAAAATATACAAATGAGAAAACTTAGAATTTTACAAAATGATAGTTGTATTCGCATGGAGGTGTTCCAGATGATCATCTCATTGTGTTTTTGAAATATCATGTACTATTTAACAATGGTTAATAAAATATTTTAATATATAAAAGTCCTGAATAGCATACAACCTTTATGCATTGCTGATGAGAATGTAAAGTGGTGTAGCTGTTGTGGAAAACAATATGATGGCTCCTCAAAAAGTTAAACATAGAATTACCATATGATCCAGCAGTTCCACTTCTAAGATACCCAAAAGAATTAAAAGCAGGGACTCTAACAGATACTCGTATACCCATGTTCATAGCAGCATTATTCACAATAGCCAAGAGGTAGAAGTAAACCAAGTATTCATTAACAGGTGAATGGATATGCAAAATGTATGTACATACAATGGAATATTATTTAGCCTTAAGAAGGAAGGAAGTTCTGACACATGTTGCACCATGGATGATAAACCCTTTTTTTTTTTTGAGACAGGGACTTGCTCTGTTGCCCAGGCTGGAGTGCAGTGTTGGGATGCTCACTGCAGCCTCAACCTCCTGGGCTCAAGCAATCCTCCCACCTCAGCTTTCCAAAGTCCTGGTGTTATAGGCGTGAACCACTGTGCTCAGCCCTGGATGAACATTATTCTAAGTGAAATAAGCTATTCACAAAATTATTGTACAAATATTGTATGATTACACTTATATGATGTATGATGTATCTAGAGTAGTCAAATTCATAAAGACAGAAATTAAAATGGTGGTTTCCAGGGACTTGGGGGAGGAAGGATGGGAAGTTATTGTTTGATGGGTACAGAATTTCAGTTTTGCATGATAAAAAGAGGCCTGGAGATGGGTAATAGTGATGTTTGCATATCAGTGTGAATGTACTTAATGCCACTAAACTGTACACTTAAAATTAGTTAAGATGGTAAATTTTATGTGTATTTTACCACAATTTAAAAAATAAAGGTTAAAATGGTAGATATGTTTTGTATATTTTGCTATAATAAAAAAAATTTTAAAAAGTAGTTCAGAAGCTGTGGATGGATTTCTATATATGTATCAGAGGTTGAAAAGGGGGCAATTTATAGAGTAACAGTATAGTACAAAAAAAAAAACAAAATGCATAAGGCAGTTTCAAAAAGAATTCCAAAGATAAGTATCACAAAATTATATTCTATGTTAAACTGAAATCTGTGATTTGAAATGTTTTGCTCAAGTATTTCTCCTGCCTTTTTTTGTCTAAGCTCATGACTGTAGATAGTAGCAGAAAATGTAATTGTTAGACTGAAATGAACTTTGAATATTGTCACAATTTTAGAAGTGAAAGAGATGCTTGCTGTATTAGAGTTCTCTAGAGGGCCAGGACTAATAGGGTAGATGTATATCTAAAGCAGAGTTTATTAAGGAGTATTGACTCACAAGATCACAAGGTGGAGTCCCACAGTAGGCCATCTGCAAGCTGAGGAGCAAGGAAGCTAGTCCAAGTCCCAAAACCTCAAAAGTAGGGAAGCCAACAGTGCAGCCTTCAGTCTGTGGCCAAATGCCCTAGAGCCCCTGGCAAACCACTGGTGTAAGTCCAAGAGTCCAAAAGCTGAAGAACTTGGAGTCTGATGTTTGAGGGCAGGAAGCATCCAGCATGGGAGAGAGATAAAGGCAGGAAGACTCCACCAGTGTAGCCACGCTGGCAGCTTATTAGATGGTGGCTACCCAGATTGAGGGTGAGTCTGCCTCTCCCAGTCCACCGATTCAAACGTTAGTATCCTTTGGCAACACCCTCATGGACACACCCAAGAACAGTACTTTGCATCCTTCAATCCAATTAAGTTGACAGTATTAACCACCACACTTGCTTTAGAGGTAAGACACCACAGGTTCAGATAAATTGATTATATAGATACGTAGTGAAAGATCTGTCTCGAATGGATCCTTTGACTTTCATTACAGTATTATTTAGGCTTTGTATTAAGCAGGCTAGATTCTAATCTTTTAAAAAATAATGAAACATTTGATTATTTCTTCTCTATTAGGAAATTCCTATATTTTTTAATTTAAAAAATTTATTTCAATAGTTTTGGGGGTAAAGGTAGTTTTGTTACATGGATAAGTTCTTTAGTGGTAAAGGAAATTCTTAAACATGAATTTTCTGTGGTATAGTTTACAGCTATGTGTTCTACTCATGCTTTTGATGTTTTTTATATTCTCAAGGAATTGTTAACTTCACAGCTCTCTTCTCAAGCCATTGTTCCTTTGATTCTAAGAGAGGTTGCATTGTCTTAGCTTTTAAAAATAATCTACATTATGAATTGTTTTTCAAATATCTTTCCTATCCCACTCTTATCTTGAACTGTATTTCTTCAAATATTTGTAATTTTGGGACTCAAATGATACTGACCTTATTAACTCCTAGATCTTATGATTGCACAAAGTCAGAATACTTGGTTGCAAGTGACAGAAATTCAACTCCTCCAAAAAGGATTTATTGGTTCATGTAATTGGGAAGTGCAAGAGTGCATCTTATGGCAAGAGTGCATCTGGAGACTCAAATACTGCTGTGAAGACTCTCTCTGCAGCTCTTTGTTTGCATTGCTTTATTCTTTTAGAGTCTCCCCTAGTGGCAGACAAATGGCTGCCAGACAAACTCAAATCTCCCAGTTAAGCAATTGTAATGTAGGAAATAAACCAAATAACTCTCTACCAATGTCCATATCTCAATTTCAGGTTCTGTGTGCATAATCCTATGATTAGCAGCCCCAGCACTAATGCATAGAGGAGATATTTCCCAAAGGATTCTGAAGAAAGGGGGGTGGGAAAATTAGGCAGAAAAGAAGAACAATTCCCATAGTCTATTATACCAATGTTTCCCCACCTTATAGTGAAGCAACTTTTTAAAAAATTCTAGGTACATTACAAACCAATGTTTCTGTCCATTTAAAATCATTTGATGTACTGCATGTTTGTCTCTTTTTGGCTGTGCAGCATTTGAATCCCTGTCCTTTCTGGAATTTTCCACTGTGAGAGCTTTAGTGGGAAGGCAGGCCACATCCCCCATCACAGATGTTAAAAAATACATGTGCTTTTATTTAATTATTTTTTTGCTGTGAAGGTATTATTATTGTTATATTTTTTAATATACTGTAGTTCTGGTGCAGGTTTGTAACATAGGTATACATGTGCCATGGTGGTTTGCTGCATCCATCAACCCATCATCTACATTAGATATTTCTCCTAATGCTATCCCTCCACTTGCCCCCCACCCCACAACAGGCCCCAGTGTGTGATGTTTCCCTCCCTGTGTCCATGTGTTCTTATTTTTCAGCTCCTGCTTACGAGTGAGAAAATATGGTGTTTGGTTTTCTGTTCCTGTTTAAGTTTGCTGAGAATGATGGTTTCCAGTTTCATCTGTGTCTCTGCAAAGGACATGAACTCATCCTTTTTAAAGGCTGCATAGTATTCCATGGTGTATTTGTGCCACATTTTCTTTATCAAGTCTGTCAGTGATGGACATTTGGGTTGGTTCCAAGTCTTTGCTATTGTGAACAGTGCCGCAATATGTGCATATGTCTTTATAATAGAATTATTTATAATCCTTTGGGAATATACCCAGTAATGGGATTGCTGGGTCAAATGGTATTTCTGGTTCTAGATCCTTGAAGAATTGCCACACTGTCTTCCACAATGGTTGAACTAATTTACACTCCCACCAACAGTGTAAAAGCATTCTTATTTTTCCACATCCTCTCCAGCATCTGTTATTTCCTGACTTTTTAATGATCACCATTCTAACTGGCATGAGATGGTATCTCATTGTGGCTTTGATTTGCATTTCTCTAATGATCAGTGATGATGAACTTTTTTTCATATGTTTGTTGACTGCATAAATGTCTTCTTTTGAGAAGTGTCTGTTCATATCCTTCACCCACTTTCTGATGGGGTTGTTTTTTTTTTTGTAAATTTGTGTAAGTTCCTTGTAGATTCTGGATATTAGCCCTTTGTCCAATGGATAGATTACAAAAATTTTC
The DNA here is from genome assembly GCF_000001405.40 of Homo sapiens. Taxonomy (NCBI): domain Eukaryota; kingdom Metazoa; phylum Chordata; class Mammalia; order Primates; family Hominidae; genus Homo; species Homo sapiens. The sequence goes on along the minus strand of NC_000014.9, from coordinate 60,078,524 downwards.
TCCCATTCTGTAGGTTGCCTGTTCACGCTGATGATAGTTTCTCTTGCTGTGCAGAAACTCTTTAGTTTAATTAGATCCCAGTAGTCAATTTTGGCTTTTGCTGCCATTGCTTTTGGTTTTTTAGTCATGAAGTCTTTGCCCATGCCTATGCCCTGAATGGTATTGCCTAGGGTTTCTTCTAGGATTTTTATGGTTTTAGGTCCTACGTTTAAGTCTTTAATCCGTCTTGAGTTAATTTTTGTATAAGGTTTAAGGAAGGGGTCTACTTTTAGTTTCCTGCATATGGCTAGCCAGTTTTCCCAACACTATTTATTAAATAGGGAGTCCTTTTCCCCATTGCTTGTTTTTGTCCAGTTTGTCAAAGATCAGATGGTTGTAGATGTGTGAAGTTATTTCTGAGGACTCTGTTCTGTTCCATTGGTCTATATCTCCGTTTTGGTACCAGTACCATGCTGTTTTGGTTACTGTAGCCTTGTAGTATAGTTTGAAGTCAGATAGCGTGATGCCTCCAGCTTTCTTCTTTTTGCGTAGGATTGTCTTGGCTATACAGGCTCTTTTTTGGTTCCATATTAAGTTTAAAGTAGATTTTATAATTCTGTGAAGAAAGTCAATGGTAGCTTGATAGGGATAGCATTGAATCTACAAATTATTTTGGGCAGTATGGCCATTTTCACGGTATTGATTCTTCCTATCCATGAACATGGAATGTTTTTCCATTTGTTTGTGTCCTCTCTTATTTCCTTGAGCAGTGGTTTGTAGTTCTCTTTGAAGAGGTTCTTCATATCCCTTGTAAGTTGTATTCCTAGGTATTTTATTCTCTTTGTAGCAATTGTGAATGGGAATTCACTCATGATTTGGCTCCCTGTTTGTCTATTATTGGTGTATAGGAATGCTTGTGATTTTTGCACATTGATTTTGTATCCTGAGACTTTGCTGAAGTTGCTTATCAGCTTAAGGACATTTTGGGCTGTTGATTGGGTTTTCTAAATATACAATCATGTCATCTGCAACCAGAGACAATTTGACTTCCTCTCTTTCTATCTGAATACCCTTTATTTCTTTCTCTTGCCTGATTGTCCTGGCCAGAACTTCCAATACTATATTGAATAGGAGTGGTGAGAGATGGCATCCTTGTCTTGTGCTGGTTTTCAAAGGGAATGCTTCCAGCTCTTTCCCATTCAGTATGATATTGGCTGTGGGTTTGTTATAAATAGCTCTTATTATTTTGAGATACGTTCCATCAATACCTAGTTTATTGAGAGCTTTTAGCATGAAGGGGTGTTGAATTTTATCAAAGGATAAATGCACCAATAACAGACAAACAGCCAAATCATGAGTGAACTCCCATTCACAATTTCTTCAAAGAGAATAAAATACCTAGGAATCCAACTTACAAGGGATGTGAAGGACCTCTTCAAGGAGAACTACAAACCACTGCTCAGTGAAATACAAGAGGACACAAACAAATAGAAGAACATGCCATGCTCATGGATAGGAAGAATCAATATCGTGAAAATGGCCATACTGCCCAAGGTAATTTATAGATTCAATGCCATCCCCATCAAGCTACCAATTACTTTCTTCACAGAATTGGAAAAAACTACTTTAAAGTTCATATGGAACCAAAAAAGAGCTCGCATTGCCAAGACAGTCCTAAGCCAAAAGAACAAAGCTGGAGGCATCACACTACCTGACTTCAAACTATACTGCAAGGCTACAGTAACCAAAACAGCATGGTACTGGTACCAAAACAGAGATATAGACCAATGGAACAGAACAGAGCCCCTGGAAATAATATCACACATCTACAACCATCTGATCTTTGACAAACCTGACAAAAACAAGCAATGGGGAAAGGATTCCCTATTTAATAAATGGTGCTGGGAAAACTGACTAGCCATATGTAGAAAGCTGAAACTGGATCCCTTCCTTACACCTTATACAAAAATTAATTCAAGATGGATTAAAGACTTAAATGTTAGACCTAAAACCATAAAAACCCTAGAAGAAAACCTAGGCAATACCATTCAGGACATAGGCATGGGCAGGGACTTCATGTCTAAAACACCAAAAGCAATGGCAACAAAAGCCAAAATTGACAAATGGGATCTAATTAAACTGAAGAGCTTCTGCACAGCAAAAGAAACCACCATCAGAGTGAACAGGCAACCTACAGAATGGGAGAAAATTTGTACAAATCTGACAAAGGGCTAATATCCAGAATCTACAAATAACTTAAACTTACAAGAAAAAATCAAACAACTCCATCAAAAATTGGGTGAAGGATATGAACAGACACTTCTCAAAAGAAGACATTTATGCAGCCAACAGACACATGAAAAAATGCTCATCATCACTGGCCATCAGAGAAATGCAAATCAAAACCACAATGAGATGCCATCTCACACCAGTTAGAATGGTGATCATTAAAAAGTCAGGAAACAACAGGTGCCGGAGAGAATGTGGAGAAATAGGAACACTTTTACACTGTTGGTGGGACTGTAAACTAGTTCAACCATTGTGGAAGACAGTGTGGCGATTCCTCAAGGATCTAGAAGTAGAAATACCATTTGATCAAGCCATCCCATTACTAGGTATATACCCAAAGGATTATAAATCATGCTCCTATAAAGACACATGCACACGTGTGTTTATTGCAGCACAATTCACAATAGCAAAGACTTGGAACCAACCCAAATGTCCATCAATGATAGACTGGATTAAGAAAATGTGGCATATATATACCATGGAATACTATGCAGCCATAAAAAATGATGAGTTCATGTCCTTTGTAGGGACATGGATGAAGCTGGAAACCATCATTCTGAGCAAACTATTACAGGGACAGAAAACCAAACACCGCATGTTCTGACTCATAGGTGGGAAGAACAATGAGAACACTTGGACACAGGATGGGGAACATCACACACAGGGGCCTGTTGTGGGGTGGGAGAAGGGGGAGGATATAACATTAGGAGATATATCTAATGTAAATGACGAGTTAACGGGTGCAGCACACCAACATGGCAGATGTATACATATGTAACAAACATGCATGTTGTGCACATGTACCCTAGAAGTTAAAGTATAATAATAATAAATAAAAATAAAAAAATTTTAAAAAATCTCTCAGCATTTGCTTGTCTCTAAAGCATTTTATTTCTCCTTTGCTTATGAAGCTTAGTGTGGCTGAATCTGAAATTCTGGGTTGAAAATTCTTTTCTTTAAGGATGTTGAATATTGCCCCCCTAACCCCTTGTAGGGTTTCTGCAGACAGATCTGCTGTTAGTCTGATCGGCTTCCCTTTGTGGGCGACCTGACCTTTCTCTCTGGCTTCCCTTAACATTTTTTCTTTCATTTCAACCTTGGTGAATCTGAAGATTATGTGTCTTGGGGCTGCTTTTCTTTGTGGTGTTCTCTGTATTTCCTGAATTTGAATGTTGACCTGTCTTGCTAGGTTGGGGAAGTTCTCCTGGATAATATCCTGAAGGGTGTTTTCTAACTTGGTTCCATTCTCCCCATCACTTTCATGTACACCAGTCAAATGTAGGTTTAGTCTTTTCACATAGTCCCATATTTCTTGGAGGCTTTGTTCATTCCTTTTTATTCTTTTTCCTCTAATCTTGTCTTCATGCTTGATTTCATAAGTTGATCTTCAATCTCTGATATCTTTTCTCCCGCTTGAACAATTCAGCTATTGATACTTGTGTATGCTTCACAAAGTTCTTGTGCTGTGTTTTTCAGCTCCATCAGGTCATTTATGTTCTTCTCTAAACGGTTATTCTAGTTAGCAATTCCTCTAACCTTTTTTCAGGGTTTTTAGCTTCCCTGCATTGGGTTAGAATATGCTCCTTTAGCTCAGAGGAGTTTGTTATTACCCACCTTCTGAAGCCTACTTCTATCAATTCCTCAGACTCATTCTCTGTCCAGTTTTGTTCCCTTGCTGGCAAGGAGTTGTGATCCTTTAGAGGAAAAGTGTTCTGGTTTTGGGAATTTTCAGCCTTTTTGTGCTGGTTTTTCCTCATCTTTGTGAATTTATTTACCTTTGGTCTTTATCTACCTTTGGTCTTTGATGTTGGTTACCTTCAGAGGGAGTTTCTTTTTGTTGATGATGATGCTATTCCTGTTTGTTTGTTTTCCTTCTAACAGCCACACCGCTCTGCTGTAGGTCTGCTGGAGTTTGCTGGAGGTCCACTGCAGACCCTGTTTGCCTGGGTATCACCAGCGGAGGCTGCAGAACAGCAAAGATTGCTGCCTGTTCCTTCCTCTGGAGGCTTTATCCCAGAGGGGCACCCGCCAGATGCCAGCCAGAGCTCTCCTATATGGGGTGTCTGTCTACCCCTGCTGGGAAGTGTCTCCCAGTCAGGAAGCACAGGGGTCAGGGACCCACTTGAGGAGGCAGTCTGTCCCTTAGCAGAGCTTGAGCACTGTCCTGGGAGATCTGCTGCTCTCTTCAGAGCCAGCAGGCAGGAATGTTTAAGTCTGCTGAAGCTGCGCCCACCATTGCCCCTTCCCCCAGGTACTCTGTCCCAGGGAGATGGGAGTTTTATCTATAAGCCTCTGACTGGGGCTGCTGCCTTTCTTTCAGAGATGCCCTGCCCAGAGAGGAGGCAGTCTGGCTACAGTGGCTTTGCCGAGCTTTGGCAGTTTTGACTTTCTGACAGTTTTGTTTACACCGTGAGGGAAAAACCACCTACTCAGTCCTCAGTAATGTGTACACCACTCTCCCCACCAAGCTTGAGTGTCCCAGGTTGACTTCAGATTGCTGTGCTGGCAGCGAGAATTTCAAGCCAGTGGATCTTAACTTGCTGGGCTTCATCGGGGTGGAATCCACTGAGCTAGATCACTTGGCTCCCTGGCTTCAGCCCCGTTTTCAGGGAAGTGAACGGTTCTGTGTCGCTCTCATTCCAGGCACCACTGGGGTATGAAAAAATAACTCCTGCAGCTAGCTAGGTGTCTGCCCAAACGGCCTCCCAGTTTTGTGTTTGAAACCCAGGGCCCTGGTGGTGTAGGCACCCAAGGGAATCTGCTGGTCTGAAGGTTGCAAAGACTGTGAGAGAGGCCTGTATCTGGGCTGGAATGCAGTGTTCCTCAAGGCACGGTCCCTCAAGGCTTCCCTTGGCTAGGGGAGGGAGTTCCCTGACCCCTGCGCTTCCCTGGTGAGGCAGTGCCCCACCTGCTTCTGCTTGCCTTCCATGGGCTGCACACACTGTCTAACCAGTCCCAATGAGATGAGCCGGGTACCTCAGTTGGAAATGCAGTAATCACCCACCTTCTGTGTTGATCTTGCTGGGAGCTACAGACTGGAGCTGTTCCTATTTGGCCATCTTTCCAGCCACCCCCTGCTTTTCTTTAATAACTAAAGTTTGTGGCGGGCAACCTAAGTTTAGCTATCTTCTTCCTGGGCCTTTCAGTGTAGAACATGGGAAGCAAAGAAGCAGGAATATTTAGAATTCATTTTGATGGCAACAGAAACATCAAGGCCTTATTGCACTCATCTAGTGGCACCCATGCCTGTGGCAGCAGCATGGCACTGGCACCATAATTAAGGTGATCCTGTGACATGATACTGTCTGGGGTATTGACCACTATACTCCGCTTGTTCTCATTCTATGAGCCTGGTTTTTCAGCCTTTCTGTTCTGTGAACTATCCTATGAGCTATATCCAGAGTAATGTTCTTTTGCTTGCAACAAAAGCCACTGAGTGATACTCTCCGCTAATAATTTTTAGCCAAGATATTTTGAGGTACAATTATTTTCTCTAAGATGCTAATAATTGGTGAATTTAAGTATGATTTCTTTTTCATCTTAATGTATTTAACAGCTTCAAATTCTAGAGTTTATTCTTTCATGACCTCCTTTTTATACTGACATTAAACCACTTTCAGTGACTTTCTTTTATGACTCATTCAGAACCAATTGCTGCTTTCATTTTGCCATTATCCCATTTATGCTCTTCCATAAAATCTACTTTTGTTCTTTGCTTTTTCATTTCTCGTTAAGTTGTATCTTTCTGCTATAATTTTAGTACAAAAGTCCTTCACATCTCTTTTCTGGGAACATTCCTGTATCAGTTAGGATTAGGTTGTACTTCTTGTAACAGAGAAACCATAATAACAGTGGTTTAACCGATATAAACTTACTTCTTGCCGTATAAGTTAATTATTCGAGGGTCAGAATGGCAGTTCTATGGGCTAGTGGGACAGTCCCATTTATTATGCTGTCATCTTTAAGGTCTTTTTCCTCCTGGTCCAGCCAGACTTCCTCCATCATAATCTTTTCCCAAGCTACAGTATGAATGGAAGGGAAATTTTTCTTCCTTTCCTTTTTAAGAAGACTTCCAGTAAGTTTCCATACCACACTACCACATATAAGTCATTTGCCAAAACAAAGGGCCACATTTGACTGCAAGAGAAGCACTATTCCTAGCTAATAATCAGGGTTCTTTTACTAAGGGAGAATGACAGAACAGGCCCGGGAGGCAATTGGCTGTCTCCTCCACAATTTCTACTTCTTTTGACTATCTCTAAGTAATTTACCATCTTTCTAGATAAAACAGTTTATTTTGTGTTTTGGGACTAATTTGTAAATTTTTAGTTCAACTAATAAAAATTTAGTTCAACTAGTAAAAATTTGGAACAAAAATGATCCTAATATAATACATATTTTATTTAATAATTATACAGTTTTTATCGTATTGTTACACTCATTCTAATTGCCTGAATAAAGTGGTTTTCTTACAAAAATTCCCACTTAGTTATTTTCAAGATATGATGGCTTCAAAATGAGTTTAAATTCTTACTTATAAAAGGAATGTATATTTTTAAAGTAAACTAATTTATATTACTTTTAGATTGTGATATCAAAATAAAATATGGAAGATTCTGAAGACTTTCCAGAATTTGTGAAGAATGTGTGAAATAAAATGGTGGTTGGGCTCACTCCCTTATACTTTTGCTTCTACACCAGTAAAATAACCCTTGAATCAGGATCATTGTCAATAATTTATATTTCAAAATTTAAATTCTTGTTTTTAAAGAAATAATTTTGAACATGCAGAAAAGTTTTAAATATGGTGATTTCCTCACCCAGCTTTTCCTAATGTTAACATTTTATATAGCAATGATTGAAACTTAGCAATTAACAGTTATACTGTTAACTAATCTATGGACTTTATTTGAATTTCAACAGTTTTCCCACTAATGCCCTTTTTTTGGTTCAAGATCCAATCCAAGATCTTGTATATTATACTTAGTTATCATGTTTCTTAGATTCCTCCAATATGACTTCCTCAGTCCTTATCATGCAATGCCCTTGATCTTTTTAGACTCCTTTTGGCCAGACTTATTGGCCGATTATATTGTGGAATGTCCCTTAGTTTGGGTTTGTCTGATATTTTCTCATGATCAGATCATTCTCATTCTCATGATCATGTGGTATTTTTGGCAGGAATACTACAGAATGATTTTGTGCCCTTATCAGTGCATCATATCAGGATATTGATATATCTTATTTTTTGGTGATATTAAATTTGATCTCTTGGTTAAGGTGTTTATCAGTTTTTTCCACTGCACAGTTAATATTTTTTTCTATTTGTAATTAAAAAGTATCTTGTAGGGAAATTCTTAGAGACCATGCAAATACCCTGTTTATACTGTCATCTACTAATTTTAGTATCCATAGATGATTCTTAACCACAGCAATTATTACTTTGGTGTTTTCCATAGTCATCAATATTCTTTACATGTTTATTGAATACAGAAGAAAATTATGTTCATTAAAAACATCTATAAATGTGAACTTGAGGAAATTCTTTTGATTAGTAGGTTAAAGATACAGCCAAGAAGTTCTGTGAAAGTTACAGGAAAAAAAATGTGTTTAAATGTTAAATTATTTGTGGCATTTTTAACGTCAATTGAGAAGAGCACAGTTATATGATCCAGCTATCTCTATTTATTTGTGGGGTATGATTCTTAATGGGACCAAAGACCTCCGGTGTTCTAATCCCACTTTTCTCTTTGTTCAGAATAAATCTTCTTGGCCCATAGCCAGGTATAGGGAGTGCTATCTAAGCAACGATAAACTAGAACTCTCTCAATCCCAGTTGTTTTGTTTTGCTTTGCTTTTTTATGAAACTAAAAATATAGCTCCCAGAATTCAAGTCTGTTTCCATGTTGCACGTCACAACTCTAACCTGACATTAACATCTTGCTGTAAACGAGGTGTCAGGTGTCTAGGCTTAAACCAGAAGACTAATGGATTATAAAAGAAAACAATTAGATATTTCAGTTTTACATTGCTAGTTTTTCCATTTTAATTTAAAATATAATTCCCCAGTATTATACATTTGTGTCACATAGGCGTTGTATGTACTAGGGTATCAGCAGGAAACAAGTGGCAGAGTCAAATGGGGCCATTGAGGAGTTTAGTGAAGGGACCACTTCAGAAGTGTGGATAGAATTAAGGAAACAGACCAGGATTAGTGAAGCATTTTATTTTTTATTTTTTGAGAGAGAGTCTCATTCTGTCACCTGGCTAATTTTTGTATTTTTAGTAGAGATGGGGTTTCATGTTTGCCAGGCCGTTCTCAAACGCCTGGTCTCAAGTGATCTGCCTTCCTTGGCCTCCTAAAGTGCTGGGATTACAGGTGTGAGCCACCGTGCCCTGGCAGGTGAAGCATCTGAACTTGCAATGCCTGTAGGCCTGAAGGTGTAAGGGAAAGAGAGTTCACCAGAACCCAGATACTTTAGGAAAGCCCAATAGAAGCTGTAGTTCTTGTAGAATGCAGCTGCTACTAAAGCCCAAATCTCACTCTTTTACTCTTTGATCTACTTCTAGTGTCTTGATTGGCTACAGCCAACTGCCAGCTAGAGGGACAAATGACTCTAAGTGATGTTGTCCTTAAAGGTGAGTCTTTAGAGTCACAGAGCAGGAGGAGAAAGGTAGAGAATAGATCTGGAAGGGCAAGTGGAGGCTATCTAGCAAATTGTATTTCAGAAAAAGTGCACTTGATTATATTTCTGGCTCTAGTTTTTCTTATGTCTGGCCTCCTTCATTGAGGTTATGTGACATGTTCCTGAAGACTTTTTCATTCTTTATTTTATCTTTTTTTTGGTGATGGAATCTTTCTCTGTCTCGCCCAGGCTGGAGTGCAGTGGCTCGATCTCGGCTCACTGCAACCTCCACCTCCTGAGTTCAAGCTATTCTCCTGCCCCAGCCTCCTGAGTAGCTGGGATGACAGGTGCCTGCCCACCACCACACCTGGCTAATTTTTGTATTTTTAGTAGAGATGGGGTTTTGCCATGTTGGCCAGGCTAGTCTTGAACTCCTCAAGTGATCTGCCCGCCTTGGCCTCCTGAAGTGCTGGGATTACAGGCCTGAGCCATGGCGCCCGGCCCATAATTGAACTGTTAAAGGATGACAATTATGTGACTGACATTCTCATAGTTATACTTCTTGTGAGTTAACAACGGCCCAATGTGTTAGCATTAACACATGTTTGGGCTTTAGTTTTATTGTATTGTTTCCATTTATAGACTTTAGCATGTTTCCATAAATATAATCATATCTTCATTCAAAGCATAATTTAACAATATAGTAATGGCTCCATTAATATTGGAATCTTCAACTAACTAGCAAAGTTATTTCAGCATCATAATAATTGAAGGGACACACAAAAAAAGTACATATAAGGGAATTTGGCCTTAAGCAACTGCCAAGGTTATAGCAGAAGTTCAAAACACATTCTAAACACTTTTCCTCAGCTGCATTTCTCTAAAATGGTAAATCATGCACACTATGACCCTGAAGCACTATAAATCATTGAAAATAAAATTTTGTTTAATGTATTCTGTTTGTTAAAGCAGGAAAATACATCAATACATTTAAGAACAATTTCCCCAAAATGTATAAAATAAGCCTGATTGATTACAGCTAATTAAAAAATTAAACAATTTTATCTATTTGTACATTTGCACCTTTGCCACTAAACCTAAATTAGCCTTTTTTTTCCTAAATGACAGGAAGTTTGATATACTGTACTGATTGCTATAGACTAGAATATTAAGTTGTTACAACTATATGAGATCTACATGTATTTCTACTTCCATGTATATATGTGTATGTTTGTAAAATTCACATATTTATACTATGCTGTTTAAAAACTCCAATTGTGGCAGTTTAAATACTGCTTTGTTGCTAATCACGGCTTAATACCTAAAACAGAACAGAGTCCTTCACAAGGTAATCAGGGAAATATGCCAATTTTGACTTCATTGCCATCCTGTTGAATGACTGTATTCATTCTCTTTAGATTTAAAGCTCCTCATTCTACTGTTCCTCAACACTCTTTATAGAATTCCAGCTTGCTTTTCACCTATCTTTTAACAGTTTAACATAGATGGCTGGATCAAGTCCATTGTTCCAATTGTATGAACCTTAAAAAGCTCTGCAGTATTTTACTCTTTCCATTGTATCTGGTTTCCCTGAGTGCTCTGCTCACTGCATTTTACTCGTACTCTGATTTCTAAACCCATTTATGGCTGATTCTTTCTGAAGACACTTGTTTGTCTGGGAGCTCAAATTGACTTACCCCCATTCTATTTCCTTAACTAAAAATGCACCATTAAGGTTGATTGAACTCTTTTAAAGCACTTCATATAAAATCAAAGGCCTTAGGAAAGTAGGCTACCAGTGTTTATAAATACCTGTTTTAAACCAAATTGATAGGGGAATAAGAAATAATTAGAAACTTTAAAATGTTTTATATATATATATATATATATTTTACTGATTAGTCTTTTTTGGTTGTTCTTTGAGAGACACACTTGTAAAACATTCTGAGAGGGAAGGGAGAGGAAGAGCTATGCTATAATTAAAGATGGAACAAATAGTAGAGCCAAACCACTAAAATTATTGAAAACATTTTCTAGAAAAAATAATGTTCTACAATAAGCAAGAAGAAAAACGTGCAGCTCTTGATTAAAAGCTATAGCTTTTAAATCACTCCAACCCCACTGGAAACAAACAAAAATCATATCACCATATCTTTTTTCTATTTAAACTATAGTCATTGTTATTTTTGTGGTTTACAAAAATAGTAAGATTATCACTAATTCTTTTCCTATTTATAATGTTTAAAATTAACTGCTGGTATAAAATATTTTTAAACATTTAGAAGTTAATTACAATTATAAAATTAAAAACCAAATGAAAATATAGAATGCTATTTGTTAAAAATTCTTCGCATCCCTTTCTATTTTAATGTTTGATCAAAATGTAACTATTTTGAAAAAACAAACTATGTTATCTCAATGGATTTTTATTTAGAGCATATAGAAATACTGTTATTTTTAATGATATTAGAAAAAATCTGTTCTAATTTAAAATTTAGCATTTCAGAATCTTTGGAATCTTATATGGAAAATGACAATGTTGATAAACTGACTTTTTGATTTACCTAAAAGAGCATATAGTTAAGGTAGTGCTTAATAAAATATAAAAGATAAATAATTTGACTTCAGCTAACTAATACCTTCAAAGCTACTTCTAAGTTCCTTTGAATGTGCTATTCTATTTTTATATTACAACATTGTATGTCTTTGCTATTAAATCATTCATTTTAGCTTAATTTTAAGGAAAAATCATTACCAAAACAAAAATCTTAAGATAAAAATGCGTAAATTAAGTCTGAGAAATGTCTTTTGAGTAGTTTACAAAACAATTTTATTCACAATGGAAAGAAAAACAGTAACAGTAGAATGGTATAATTTACATATTTGTAAAGTAAAAACTTGCAGAAATAATATTACTAATAAAATAGCTGTGGTATTTCTTACTGACCTAGTTCTAAAAGGCAACTGAGAATTTAAATTGCAGTTCAGCGTAGGTTTTTCTTCAAAAATACTTCAATAATGGAGAAGGGAGGAAAATGTAGAAAAATGAACACATAGTTAGCACTTGCAGGTGGTCCAGAAGCTCTAAGTTTTATAGTAAGGCATCAGAAAAACCAGCCGGTTTCTAGCCCATAACCAAAATGATTTGGTTAGCTTCACTGAATAACCAAAGGAATTTGGCCGTAAGTGCTTGCTTCTACTAATAGAATATTATAATAATCTTACCTCCCTTTATGTAAGTAATATTTAATTGAAGCCAAGAGCCTAGAGCATGACTAAGAGTGAGATCTAATGTTTTAAAACATTAAACACTTTTCATAATGTAAGATAGCTTATGAAGAGTGAAATGGCATGTTACTTAAATATAAGGGTTATTTGTAAACTAGTCAGGAGTGCCTGCAAACACACATACATAGTGCACACTAGATATTCTAGGCAAAAATATATTCACAATCAGTTAATTTTGTGTCAATAGTCAGAAAAATCTAAGACTAGAAAAATTAGAAGTAAATGGCCAGGCATGGTGGCTCATGCCTATAATCCCAGCACGTTGCGGGAGCCGAGGCAGGAGGATTACATGAAGCCAGGAGTTTGAGACCAGCCTGGGCAATATAGTGAGACTCCATCTCTACAAAAATTTTTTTAAAAATGGAAGTAAATAGTAAAGTTTGTATTGGACAATTAATCGCAGTTAATTTTATATATAGAAATCAGACTAATTTCACACTGCCTGTATTCGGTTCAGCTTTGGAGGCTTCTAATCTATAAAGTGCCTTAATTTCTAGCTTACCAGGTTGTTTGTGGAATTGTCTTTAATGAAAACAAGTTATATAATCATACATTTGCTTGCAAAATAAATCAAGACATTTGCTGGGAGCAAAGACATAATAACTTTACTGGATAAATTATACATTTTATCTAAGTGAAATACCTTGATGAATAAATAGTTTACTCTCTTTTACAGTTTTTTTTTTTTTTTTTTTGAGAGGGAGTCTCACTCTGTCACCCAGGCTGGAGTGCAGTGGTGCCATCTCAGCTCACTGCAACCTCTGCCTCCCTGGTTCAAGCGATTCTCCTGCCTTAGCCTCCTGAGTAGCTGAGATTACAGGTGTACGCCACCATTCCCAGTTAATTTTTGTATTTTTAGTAGGGATGGGGCTTTGCCTTGTTGGCCAGGCTGGTCTTGAACTCCTGACCTCAGGTGATCTGCCCACCTTGGCCGCCTAAAGTTCTGGGATTACAGGCGTGAACCACTGCACCTGGCGTGGTGGTGTAATTCCAGCTACTCAGAAATTTAGATGAAAAAAAAATTTTTTTTTGAGATGGAGTCTTGCTCAATTTGTCTGCCTCAGCCTCCCTAGTAGCTGGGACTACAGGAGCACACCACCACGCCTGGCTAATTTTTGTATTTTTAGTAGAGATGGGGTTTCACCATATTGGCCAGGCTGGTCTCGAACTTCTGACCTTGTGATCTGCCTGCCTTGGCCTCCCAAAGTGCTGGGATTACAGATGTGAGCCACTGCGCCCGGCTCAGATGACATTTAATTAACAATTTTTAAGAATTATAAATAGCTCAAAATTTAACAATGTGTACATAAAAATCACATGAAGATCTCAAATGTATTAAAAGTCCATAGGAAAAATGGCTAAAAGAAAATATGCCAAAATGCTAAGTGAATACAGTGTAAGTTATGTTTTTTCTGCTTTATATATTTCTATTCTGAACATTTTTCTCCAGTGAAACCTATTACATTTATTTTCCCACTTTGTTATTTTAAGACACTTTTTATTATAAAAGTAACATATATTCAGCATTTAATTTATACATAATCATAAAAGAAAAAAAGAAGATGATGCCAATTTAGTAATAAATAGTGAAGAGTAGACTGTCACAACACTATAATGAAAGCAGTTGTCAAAACTAAAGGGCAACAAAGACATCTTCTGGACATCTTAAGAACTGCATAGTTGTTTTTAAACAAAAGATCCTATTTCCACCTAAATGTAATAGTTGTTTAAAAACCACACATTACAAAGAGCAAAATCAATCTGTAATTAGGTTTGAACTTTTAAATATTACATGATTAAAGTAAAGACATACAGCATTTAAAAAGAAAAATACAAAATTGTTGCATAGACATTGGAATTATATCATTTCCAAAGTACCTTTAAAACTATTTCCAGACAGATTATAAAGTCTACATATTTTAGTTAAAATAATTTATTTTCGTGTAAGGAAAGTATAAAATATTATGAAACTATGTGTACTGTTGAGCCAATAACTTTAAAATTTTGAATAGAATACTTCATGAATGATGGAGCTCATTTATATCAAAATATGATTGGCAATTTGGTTATCAATTTTAGTAACTGTAACAAGCAAATTCATAACCACATTTGATTAATCTGTGATACGTCCTAGTACTATGCAATGTAATAGTTTAGAAAAGTTCAGTGAAGTATAATTATTGAAGGTCATATTTTTAAATGTGTCCACTCAGTTTGAATACATGTTCTCTTCAGCCTGAAACTACTTGTAAACTTGTATCACTGTAGGTGTAATTAAATGATTTGTATTTGAAATCGGACGCTTTTTTTATTCTTAGAGCATGAAGGACTGGTTGCACCCACGGTTAGCCACATTTAGAAACTACTATTGATGCCCACAATTTGCATCTCTAAACAATTTTGAGGGCCGATCTGGTTTGAGGGTATTTTTTAAAAAAATACAGTCCTAAAAACCAATCTGTAGTTCAACTAGCAAAACTCATCTTGCTTTAGTAATAGTTGTGTTTGGTAAGAAATGTGCTGTAGTTTTGTGTAATCTCAAATGAATAGATACTCTACAAATGAAAGTATGCCTATTTCCTAAAGTTATCTTTTCTCAATATCTTCCTATGACTTTTCATAATGACATTTCATGACTAAATGTTTCTAATACTAGAACTAAGCATTCAGTTCTCTGGACTTTGTTTCATGTCACTTTTGTCTTTTCAAATTGTAGTCTGATGTAATAGTTGATGATTTTTATGATATAGAAATTCAAACAAATAACTAAAGATAACCATAAAGAAAGTTTAAGAGAGGTGATATTAAATCAAGTTCATGAAGGGTAATAGATTATCTTCATATGGAACTGAAGTGCTTCAGTAACTTAAGTAACATGATTATCTTTTTTTTTTTTTTTTAACTGACCACTGTCCGCTAGTTTTTGTACAACTACTAAACAGGTGAGTTTCTTGGTGTATGCTCATTTCTCTTTAGGCAGTTACATTCGATTTGATCTTGGAAAGTTGCTCCCAAAAATTCTGTAAGAAATAAGATTTAATTAGTCAAATAGTGGTGACTTAATTTTGTAATGGATCAGCTAACTTAAGGTAATTCTGCAATAAATAATTTCTGTATTTTAGATGTGCGCAATTTCAAAAAGACAAAATTATCCCATTGGTGGCTCACACCTGTAATCCGAGCACTTTGGGAGGCTGAGGCAGGTGGATCACCTGAGGTCAGGAGTTCAAGACCAGCCTGGCCAACATGGTGAAACCCTGCCTTTACTAAAAATAAAAAAATTGGCCGGGCATGGTGGCGCATGCCCGTAGTAATCCCAGCTACTCGAGAGGCTGAGGCAGGAGAATTGCTTGAACCCAAGAGGTGGAGGTTGCAGTGAGCCAAGATTGTGCCACTGTACTCTAACCTGGGCAACAAGAGTGAAACTCTGTCTCAAAAAAAAAAAAAATACTGTGGACTCAGTGGGACATGGCTGATTAAAGCAGGAGGAGTCAGTGCAGCAAGAGCCAAGCCTAAGCTAGATCTGCTGCTGAGGTAGGTCATTTTAACAGATGAGCAGGAGCAGGGATGCCAGGAAGATGGGGGACAGGTAATACTTGGGAATCTAAGAAGTCAAGTGTTGAGCAGAAGAGTGTATTCTTAATGAGAACTAGCAATGTTCTTAGGCTTTGAGCTAGGCTCTAGGGCTAGATTCAGACTGGAGAAGGAGGCAAGTAGGAATTTTAAAGAAAATTCGGAAGAATTTACAAAATTCTTAGCCTTCACGGTTTCAGAAAGTTGAATTTATCTGCTGTTTACAGTATAAGTGAACTGCTTTGCAAATTCAGTGAGTAGAGTGAGTTGGTAGAGGATACAATTAAAGTAGTTCCCATGTAGCTATTTCATTGTTCCCTCACTAGTGAGCACTAGTACTCTGAATTATTTGACCTTGATAGCCATTTCTCAGCCTTTTTGAATTACTATGTAAATACACTGGACTTTGGGAAAGGTTTGGTGAACGTGGGAATTAAGAAGTCTTATGCTATCTGACAGTTTTTTCTAGTTCCCAGAGTAAATATATAATAGTACATAACAATATTTCCTGTTATACATGACTAGCAAATATGGAGAGTACTTTTTTAATGATGAGAAATGATATTAAAACACAGAGAAAATAGCTTTACCTTCTCTTATCTTGGTTGCTCTGGTATATTTGTGCAGTAGGAGATGCAATATTCTGATGTGATAAAAGAGATGGAGAGATACTTATCCCTCTGAGTTGCCGAAAAGCTATTTCTGCATGGATGCTCCGAGGATTATTTGTCAGAATCCCAGCATTCTTGTTTTTTTTGTCTGAAATTAGAAATTAGAAATTTGAAAAATTAAAATTATGAAACAATGAGAAACATTAATTAACATAAGCATTAAGCAATATAGTTTGGTTGTCCTTCAGCGGAATGTATGCAATACATGTTTCATAAAGTGAATTTAAAATTTCAAATAAAAATATAGAATTATAATGTATTTTTAGCACTTGATGTGGCTTAAATTTCTGTGAGCTAGTGAATCAGTTTGATTTTTCCTAGATAATGTTTTAAACATATAAATATCCAAACCTGCATGCTGTAATAAATGTACAGATAAAGTGATTATACTTTTAAAAGGTGGGGCAGCACAGTCAAAAAATAGGAAAGAGATTGTAGGACTTTTTCAGCGCATAACAAATCTTGAAGAAACTAACAGGCATACCT
This sequence comes from Homo sapiens, assembly GCF_000001405.40. Lineage (NCBI taxonomy): Eukaryota > Metazoa > Chordata > Mammalia > Primates > Hominidae > Homo > Homo sapiens. The sequence goes on along the minus strand of NC_000014.9, from coordinate 60,061,612 downwards.
TGAAATATTGTGGGTGTGGTCCCAGACCATTGCAATAAAGTGAGTCACACACATTTTTTGGTTTCCCAGGACATATAAAAGTTATGTTTACAACTATAGTGTAGTCTATTAAGTGTGCAGTAGCATTATGTTTAAAAAAACAATGTACATACCTTAATTTAAAAATACTTTATTGCTAAAAAATGCTAATGATCATGTGAATGTTCAGCGAGTTGTAATCTTTTTGCTGTTGGAGGGTCTTGTCTCAGTGTTGTTGGCTGCTGACCAGTCAGGATGGTGGCTGCTGAAGGCCGGGGTGGCTGTGGCAATTTCTTAACATAAGACAACAATGGAGTTTGCTGCATAGATCAACTCTTCCTTTCATGAAAGATTTCTGTGTACAACATGATGTTTGATAGCACTTTCCCCACAGTAGTTCTTTCAAAATTGGAGTCAGTCCTCTCAAACTCTGCCACTGCTCTATCAACTAAGTTTGTAATATTCTAAATCCTTTGTTGTCATTTCAACAGTGTTCACAGCATTTCACCAGGAGTAAATTTCATCTCAAGAAACCACTTTCTTTGCTCCTCCATAAGAAGCAACTCCTCATCCATTCAAGTTTGATCATGAGATTGCAGCAATTCAGTCACATCTTCAGGCTCCACTTCTAGTTCTCTTGCTGTTTCCACACATCTGCAGTTACTTCCTTCACTGAAGTCCTGAACCCCTCAAAGTCATCCAAACTCCCATTAGGGTTGCTATTTTGACCTCCTCTGATGAATTACAAATGTTTTTAATGGCGTCTAGAATGGTGAATCCTTTCCAGAAGGTCTTCAATTTACTTTGCCCATATCCCTCAGAGGAATCACTAATTTTATTTTATTTTATTTTTTGAGATGGAGTCTTGCTCTGTCACCCAGGCTGGAGAGCAGTGGCGCGATCTCGGTTCACTGCAAGCTCCGCCTCCCAGGTTCATGCCATTCTCTTGACTCAGCCTCCCGAGTAGCTGGGACTACAGGCGCCCGCCACCATGCCCAGCTAATTTTTTTGTATTTTTAGTAGAGACGGGGTTTCACCGTGTTAGCCAGGATGGTCTCGATCTCCTGACCTCGTGATCTGCCCACCTCAGCCTCCCAAAGTGCTGGGATTACAAGCGTGAGCCATCGCGCCCGGTTAGGAATCACTGTCTATGGTAGTTAGAGCCTTACAAAATATATTTCTTAAATCATAATACTTGAAGTTACTCCTTGATCCATCAGCCACAGCATGGATGTTGTGTTAGCAGGCATGAAAACAACATTCATCTCCTTGTACTTCTCCATCAGAGTTATTAGGTGACTAGGTGCATTGTCAGTGAGCAGTAGTCTTTGGAAAGCAATCTGTTTCTCAGCACTGGGTCTCAACAGTCAGCTAAAATACTTAGTAAACTATGCTGTAAACAGATGTGCTGTTATCCAAGCTTTGTACATTGATAGAGCATAGACTGATAGAGCATAGACAAAGTAGATTTAGCATAATTCTTAAGAGCCCTAGGAGTTTTACAATGGTTGAACAATGGTTTCTTTAAGTTGAGCAATGTATTCAACTTAAAGTCACCAGCTGCACTAGCCCCTAACAAGAGAGTCAGACTGTCCTTTGAAGCTTTGAAGCCAGTCATTGACTTCTCCTCTCTAGCTATGAAGGTCCTAGATGGCATCTTCTTCTGATATAAGGCTGTTGCATCTACATTGAAAATCTCTTTTTTAGTGTAGCGACTTTCATCAATGATCCTAGCTAGATCTTCTGGATAACTTGCAGCAGCTTCTACATCAGCACTTGCTGCTTCACCTTACACTTTTATGTTGCCTGATATAATAGTTCGTGATTCTTTCCTTAAACCTCATAAAGCAGTCTTTGCTAGCTTCAAACTTCTCTTCTGCAGCTTTCTCACCACTTTCAGCCTTCATAGACTTGAAGACAGTTAGGGTCTCTGGATTAGGCTTTGGCTTAAGGGAATGTTGTGGCTGGTTGATATCCTATCCGGACCACTTTATCCATATCAGCAATAAGATTGTTTCAATTTCTTATCCATGTGTTCCTTGGAGTCGCATTTTTAATTTCCTTCAAGAATTTTTCCTTTGCATTCACAACTTGGCTATCTATTTGATACAAGAGGCCTACCTTTAGCCTATCTTGGCTTTCAGCATGGCTTCCTCACTAAGCTTAATCATTTCTAGCTTTTGATTTAAAGTGAGAGATCTGAGATTCTTCCTTCCTTAGAAGTCATTGTAGGGTTATTAATTGACTTAAAAAGATTACTGATCACAGATCACCATAACAAATATAATAATAATGAAAAAGTTTGAAATAGAGAATTACCAAAATGTGATAAAGACACAAAGTGAGCACATGTTGTTGGAAACATGGCACCAATAGACTTGCTTGATGCAGGGTTGTCACAAACCTACAATTTGTAAAAAACTCAATATCTGTGAAATGCAATAAAGTGAAATGCAATAAAAAAAGGTATGCTTTTACCTGAGAAGGAAGTTAGTATCTGAGAAGGAAGTTATGAAGATGAATCCAGGGTTAAACTAATAAAAAAATATAAAAAGATAATGATATTCCTGAAGATGACTTTGTTCTGTTAAGGAGGTAATAACAATTTGGTATGCCCAATTTTACTGACAGTTGTAGACAAAAGCATGACAATCTTCATTATTATTAAAACCTGGAAGTCATAATGCCATATAAGTATGAAAAATGAGAAAATATAACATCTTAATGGAGTAAATTATGCTGGTTTGTTTTTCAGTGGGTTTCTTTAAAAAACTTTAATCACATGGAACAGTCTACTTTTTTTTATAGGAGGCTCTTAGATCATTTTATAATTATTGTGATGTTCAGTTTTATTGTCTAAGAGTGGTCTGAGGACAAATGGGAAGTCAGAAGGACTGGAAGAGGTGAGCCCTCAGAGAAGGAGTACTTACCCCCAGTTTTGCCAAAATGATAACCAGAAAAGATGTGGAATTAGGGAACAGGCTTATTCTAAACTTGAACTAAAATTTATATAGCAGAATAAACCACTTCCATGCTTGTTCTTTTAATACACTCCCTCTTTTAAAACTCTACCTCTTGAAGCCCTTCTCTAGTATTTGCTTCATGAATATTTTCTTATGATTTCAAGGGGAAAGTGAGATATCTCTGCAGAATATCCTTTGTACCCCGGGATTCTGTTATGCTTTTACATCTCTGATTTCCACTTTTAGCAGGATGCACTAATGAACTGGTTTTAGTAGTTGTTTGCTCTGACATCCATGAAATGAAATAAAAGCTTTGAAAAGATATGTCAGGAAATAATTGTTCAAGTATCACAAAGTTCACATTGCAAGTGAGCAAATGTTTAGTCACAACATGCTAGTAGCTGAGTACAAAAAAAGCTATAATAAAACTAAAAATAATAAAACTATAATCTCTGAAATCAAAATGGCCATAGGAAACTTGAGCAAACATGCAATTTTAGGAAATGTAAGTTAAAAACAAGGAATTTTAAGTACTATTAGAAATTAAAGTGATATTTTTATTTCAAATTAAGTGATTCTTTTACATTCTATCTGAAATTGTCAAAATACCTTCAACTTCAGGAGTTAAAGTGACGTCAGATCCCAAGTAATGGCTGAATCCACTAGGCAGAAGTACATTTGTTATCTCTATGGGAGGAGTTTTCACTTGGCCAAATGATCTGCCATCCATAGGAGAGTGGGTAACAGGAATAAGCTACATAATAAAATAAAACAGTTAATAACATCTCATCTCCAAAACTCAGATCAATAGGCTTAATCCTTATAACAAGTCTGAGTAGACAATCAACATTCTTTTTAGTCAGGAGCTACCTGCTTGCCTAAACTCAGAATTGGTACTAGGTAAAACCTGTAAAATCAGCAGAGCTTTTTGGGGAGTTAACCTCCCTCAGAACCTTGTGTTCTTTTTTTTTTTTTTTTCAGACTGCATTGTACCATCACTAGAATCTAGTGCTTAATGGCAACTCGCCCTTTCCAAAGGGTCTCAACAAGGTAAGTATGGAAATAAGAAAATGAGAATTAAAACTTCCCCATTGTAATGCTTTTTCTTTTTTTGTGTGTGAATAGAATTTCTGGGAGGTAAAAGTTATTTCTCAAAATCTTTGTATTCTTCACATTACCTAATCAGATGACTTGCAGTTAATTAGTTTTCAGAACAAACAGTAAATAAAATGGGAGTTAAGAAAAGCATCTTATAATAATCAATTTTAGTGAATGTAGTAAAACTCTCTAAATAGTATTTACATTTTACACCTGCTGAGGATTAAGGGGCTTTTGTAAGAATTTCAGGAATCAGCAAATAGAGGAGAAAAATATTTTAGGAAGGGGACTCTTGCTTCCCCTAGAAATTTATGCCTTCTCTGCTGTTGTTAAGACTGACCTTGTTTATATGTGTGAATTCTGAACATATGATTCAGCTTATTTAGAGATGGAGGCCTTTTCTGTTTATCTAAAATTACCTATTTAACCTCATACTTCAGTAAGTGTTACCAAGAATGCTGCTTTATAATGAATGCTAAGGTATTGGTCCTTTTACTAAAGCTGCTCAGTCCTAAATTCCCTAACGAATTCCTTTATGGGAGTTTCTTCCCATCACTAATCTGGAATGCTGTCAAATTTCCTTCTGAAACTAAACCCCCAAAATGTTTTGGTTTAAAAGAACTTTAGATTTCATTTATTTCCTCCTTATTTGCTGTTAAAAAGAAAGGCCAGTAGCAACTAAGACAAAGACAAACACATTTGACTGATAAACTTCAGAAGTTTTCTGTACTTGAGTCTCCTGAACAGCTAGTTAAAAGAAATAATGGCTTGATTTTGTTCTAGTCCTGAAAATAATTGGTGTTGAATCTAAAAGAAAATTTCTCTAAAATAAAGATTTGAAATACCCCCTTTATTTTACTAACCATATATAGATAAAAAATAATATTTAATAAAGTATTTACATACGGAATAACTAAGTTGAAAGACAGTTAAATTCCTATGTATAGCACTGATTTAAATGGCAAGAATATGTATCTAGAATAACTCAAGATGACATTATAGTACTGTAAGGGGAAAATCTGAGTTCACTATATGATAAATAGAAAAGAATAGCCAACAAACAAACCCTTTAGTAAAGTATTCATTATTGGTTGAATTTTGAGTTATGCCAAATTAAATGCTTAATTAAACCAATGTTTAAAGAATTTTATATGAAAATTGGGATCTTCAAAGTTCTAAGTGGTTACTTTATGTCTTTTCAATTTAGCCTGCATTACCTTAAAACAGAATTTATGAATTTTAATATGGTAATTTTCATAGGTCTTTCACTGGAGCTCTCACATATGTGGTATGGCAGGAAGAATAATGCCCCTCCCCTAAAGATATCTACATCCTAATTCCCAAAACCTGTGAATACCTTGCCTTACATGGCAAAGTACTTTGCAGGTGTGATTAAGGATTTTGAGATGGTGAAATTATCCTGGATTTTCGAGGTAGAAGGAGGCAGAAGGTCAGAGAGAAGGGGAAGTGATCATGGAAGCAGAGGTCTAAGTGATGGCATTACTGGATGAGAGCCATGAGCCAAAGAATGCGGATGGCCTCTAGAAGCTGGTAATGGCAAAGAATAAATCCTTTCCTAGAGCTTCCAGAAAAAATGCAGCCCTGCCAATACTTTTTTTTTTTTTTTCCAAGACAGGGTCTTGCTTTGTCACCCAGGCTGGAGTGCATTGGCACGATCTTGGCTCACGGCAGCCACCACCTCCCAGGCTCAAGAGATTCTCCCACCTTAGCCTCCTGAGTAGCTGAGACTACAGGCATGTGCCATCATGCCTGGCTAGTTTTTTTTGTTTTTTTTTTTTTTTAAATAGAGACAAGGTTTTGCCATGTTCCCCAGGCTGCACTCCAACTCGTGGGCTCAAGTGATCCACCTGCCTCAGCTTCCCAGAGTGCTGGGATTATAGGCATAAGCCGCCAAGCCTGGCCCCTGCCAGTATTTTTGATTTAGTCCTTTAATACCGGTTTTCAGACTCCTGACCTTCAAAACTGTAAGACAATATGTGTTATTTTAAGCCACTAAATTTGTGGTAATTTGTTATAGCAGCAATATGAAACTAATACAGGTGGCATACATTTTTCAAGAAGTGACTTGCTTCGGGAATATAAAAAAGGGAAAAGGAAAGAAATCATCTTAAGTCACTGAACTAAATTTTATTTGACCATTTGCTCTCTTTTGAAAGACTGGGGCCTGTGACAAAGATTTGAGTAGATGACATTAGATGATGCACTTGTTTTGTTACATCATATAGATCAATGGCTAAATTTCTTTTTGGAAACCATAGTTTTTAGAAAAAAATTTGTAGATATAGTCCATGAATGAATCAATTTCCTTTGCCTAAACTAAATAATCTTTTTTAAACATTGTAAAACTTTTAAAATCACAAGTCTTTGTAGCTACTTTGACCTATAATAGAAGCCCTTTGGTTAATCAAAAAATGTCAAGATTAATTTTAAAAGAGTTAATAAAAAAGTAAGGGGGCCGGGTGCAATGGCTCAAGCCTGTAATCCCAGCACTTTGGGAGGCCAAGGCGGGTGGATTGCCTAAGGTTAGGAGTTCACGACTAGCTTGGCCAACATGGCAAAACCTCATCTACTAAAAATACAAAAATTAGCCTGGTATGATGGCACATGCCTGTAGTCCCAGCTACTCGGGATGCTGAGGCAGGAGAATCAACTGAACCCAGGAGGCAGAGGTTACAGTGAGCCAAGATTATACCACTGCATTCCAGCCTGGGCAGCAGAGCAAGACTTCGTCTAAAAAAAAAAAAAGTAAGGGAATCATTGTCTAATTGATATTCATCTTAAAAAAATAAAATATTTAAAAGTACATGCATTCATCAATCTTTTGATGAAGGACCAAAGCTGCTCTGTAGGCAAGGGTCCCTTGATTGGTATTATTTATTTGGTTGTTTTTGGAGACATGATACCCTTATTTTGCCTACAATTTCCAGTTTTGGTTTCTTTAAAATAGCAAGAATTTAAAGGCATGTGGAAAAAATCTGAACACAATAATCTGTCTAGCTTTTAAAAATAATTTCCTTACATGTTTTCTCTGCATTTTTATCATTTTCTTCATATTTTAGTTTTTTCTCCCACATCTAATTTGAACCTATGGGGGAGGGCGTTGGAAGGGGTGGGGAGAGAGAGAGTGCCCTTTATCCAGACTTTCCAAAGTATTCCATTTGGTTTTCATAGACAAATAGAAATAATAATTTAAAATTTGCACTTAGAGTCCCTGTGTTTATTTAAAATAACAAGAACTGACATACAGTTAGCTCTTAATAAGTATATGAATGTACTGCTGAAGGGAGAAGTGGACTAGAGAGGAGCCTACAAGTATCAAAAGTTGAGTATGTTCTGCAATTGGGAGTGTCACCGGAATTAATCTGGTGAGTTCAGTGAAAGCCTGTTAGGAGAGTATGTATGGTAGTCCTATCTCTTTCCTATTCAGTTTAATGTTTTTAAAGTCACCTCTGTTCATGGACTCTAATGTCCTTGGTTTCTGGTTTTCACTTACATCAAAGATTCATTTATATTCTCTACCGTGGTCCAGGTCTTCATAACATCTCTCTTGGATTATTCTAAAAGCCTCTGAGCTGGTTTCCCTTCTCCCTCCAGCCTCTTTTTTTCTCAAACCACAGCATTCTAATAATGTTACTTCTCTGTTCAAAAACCATAGATTTTCTGTGTTAAATTTAGTCTTTAGAAGATGGTCATGAAGAAACTAGGTGGTCAAAGACAGAATTTTCAAATGACATGCTTTTATTATTTCTTCCCTTTTTAATCTCTTTCCTACCATGATCAGATACATTTTAGGGCTCCTGAGTAAAAAGCCCAATTATCCTAACAAAACACACAGATAGAGGCACACATCTCCTTTCTTAGATAAACTACACAATCCAGAGAGTTGAGTTCAGAATTCCTTCCTTCCCTTTCTGTGTGCCTAAAGGGAAATAGTTTTATTGTTAGTTTCTATTTATGAAAGTGATATGTTATAGTTTCCTATGTTCTAGCATCATCTGACATATTGAGCATACAAATATTAAATAACTTTCCTTATGTCAGAGTATGAAGTATGCTATTAAGAAAAGGATGTTCCCTGACTTACATATATATGTGTGTGTGTGTGTGTGTGTGTGTGTGTGTGTGTGTGAGCACGCATGCTCTATTCACCAAATCCAGCTGCCTTTGATAGTAATCACTAAATAGATACTAAGATCATCCTTATCAAAAACGCCATAGGTTTAAACATTTAAATCAAAAGATATAATGTTCATTTACTAACCATTAATGTGCTTCAAAAGGAAAATTGTAAATAATATAATTATTACCGAGTTTTTCTTTGCTTGTAGTTCAGCGAGGTGAAATTCAGCTTTTGCCCTATCATCTGAATTCACAGGACTTCCATCTAACATCTGTAAGTTAGGCAGTCGAAATATAAGCATGTGGCGATGTAGCATTTTTCTACAAATCTGAATAAAGTTAAAAATAACAATTTATTCCTACAAAACTTTTATTTCAAAGATTAACCTGTATAGAGAAGGAAATTTAGCATAGGCAACAAAGAGGACAAATAATAGCTAACTTATAGTAATAGATGCTACAGATAATGAGCTACCTTTTTGAAAAATTACTCAATTTCCTATTATGCCAAATAAAGACTATGACTACCATTTAGAGGTTCAGCCTCCTTTTAAAGTAACAGTATTGTTCACTAACTACAGGCAATCCAAACTCATGAATAGGATTATATTATGGAAGTTCACTTAAAAGTAACTATTTTGAAACTTATATTTTCCCACAGGCACTATCTAATTAATTCAACACACACCTACTGAACTACATGATCCATCTCTTCATAGTATCAACCTACTCTAAAAATTTGAGAGGGATTTAACAAAGTTGGTTTGAGGTTGTTAACTTCAAAAGGGTCTGCTTGCAAGGATAGCTATTGCTGGTTTTAGGTATTTGGTGTTTTCAGTGTCCCCACCATTCCTTAATTGGTAAGAGGAGTTTATTGTGCCTAGACTGCTAATACGAACAATATGATTTATGCTGCACCTCATTTCCTTCTGGGGTCTGGAATTTTGGTACATGATAGGAAGAGTGTGCCTATGTAACCATCCCCCAAAAAAATCATTGAATGCTGAGTCTCTACTGGGCTGCCTTGGGCAAAAACATAACATACAAATTGCAGCATTTTAGGATGTTGCTAAAGCAGCAGTTTATAACCTAAAATGTATTGACTGATTCTGAAAAGAAATTGAAAATTAATGAGCTAGGTATCCTACTTAAGAGTTCCTTCCTTCCTTCTTCCCTTCTTCCCTCCCTGAATGTAAATGGTCTCAGTGTTCCAATTAAAAGGCATACAGTGGTGGAAAGGATATAGAAAAAAGACCTGAATGTGGGCCAAGATGGCTGATTAGAAGCAGCTGCAGTCTGCAGCACTCCCAGAGAGGAGTGAAAGCAGTGAGTGAACTCAGCACCTTCAGCTGAAATATCCAGGTTCTCACATTGGGACTGACTAGGCAATCAACTGGATCCATGGGGAACAAAGAAAAGCAGGGTGGGGTGACAGCCCACATGGGAGTGGCACAGAGCCAAATGAACCCCCATCCCCAGCCAAGGGAAGCGGTGAGTGTGCTATCGTGCCCAGGAAACCACGCTTCTCCCATGAATCTTTGCAACCCACAAATTGGGAGATCCCCTTGTGAGCCCATGTCTCCAGGGCTTTGGGTCTGATACACAGAGCAGTGTGGAGTCTTGGCAGAGTAGCTGCTCAGGCACAGAGACCCAGAAGTTTTATATACTCCAGCGCCGGGATTCTGGCAAGGCAGTAGATCTGTCTGTACATTCCCCTAGGAAGGGGGTTGAATCCAGGGAGCCAAGCAGTGTCGGTCTGCAGGCCTCAGTTTCATGGCACCTCATAAGTTAAGACCCACTGGCTTAGAATTCCAGCCAGCCAAGGGCAATAGGCTGAGTCTGCCTGAAACCAGAGGCAGTTCCTGGGGGAAGGATGAGTCTGCCTGAAACCAGAAGCAGTTCTTGGGGGAAAGGGTGGCAGCCATTTCTGTGGTTCAGTCAAGTCAGCGTTCCAGCCTGCCATCTGTAGAGAGTCCAGGTGGTCTGGACGAGGAGGGTTCCCCCTAACTGCAACACACCTGCTTTGCAAGATCATGCTCAGACTGCTTCTTTAAGTGGCACCCTGATCCATTCTTCCTCACTGGGCGGGGCCCCCTTGTGGGGGGCCTGGAGTCACTCCAGCCAGTCTTATATGCACTGAACCCTGATCTCTCCCTGGGATGGAACTCCTGTGGGGAGAGGCAGACAGTGTCTCTGTTGTTTGGTTGACTCAGCTTTTCCAGCCTGCTGGCTCTGGAGAGTCCAGGAGGTCCGGACTAGGAAGAGTCCCTCACCAATGGAGCACACTGGCTCTACCAAAAGCAGCCAGACTACTCCTGTAAGTGTGTCCTTGATCCTGTTCCTCCTGACTGGGTGAGAACTCTTAACAGGGGTCTCCAGACACCTCCTACAGGTGCATTTGGGCCAGCAACAGGTCAGTACCACCCTGGGATGGAGCTTACAGAGGAAGGAGCAGGCTGCCATCTTTGCTGCTTTGCAGCCTTCACTGGATATACCTCCAGGTATGGGAAAAATGGAGGCAATTAGGGTCTGCGGTGGACCCCCAGCAAACTGCAGCAGCCCTATGGTTGCTAATAATTAGTGGCCTGATTGTTAAGAACAAACAAACAGACAAGAACATCAACAAAAATGACCCCACAAAAGCCCCACTCAAAGCTCAGCAATCTCAAAGATTGAAGGTAGATAAGCCCCTAAAAATGAGAAAAAAATCAATGCAAAAACATTGAAAACACAAAAAGCCAGAGTGCCTCTTCTCCTACAAATGACCACAACACCAAATAACCAGCAAGGGCACAGAACAGGGCAGAGGCTGAGATGGCTGAATTGATAGAAGTAGGCTTCAGAAGGTGGGTAATAACGAACTTCGCTGAGCTAAAGGAGCATGTTGTAACCCAATGCAAAGAAGCTAAGAAACATAATAAAACAATACAGGAGCTGATAATCAGAATAGTCAGTTTAGAGAGAAACGTAACTGACCTGATACAGCTGAAAAACACAACATGAGAACTTTACAATGCAATCATAAATATCAATAGCAGAATAGACCAGGCAGTGAAAGGATCTCAGAGGTTGAAGGCTATCTTTCTGAAATAAGACAGGGCCGGGCATGGTGGCTCATGCATGCAATCTCAGCACTTTGGGAGGCCAAGAAGGGTGGATCACCGGAGGTCAGGAGTTTGAGACCAGCCTGGCCAACATGGTGAAACCTGTCTCTACTAAAAATACAAAAATTAGCTGGGCGTGGTGGTGTGTGCCTGTAATCTTAGCTACTCAGGAGGCTGAGGCAGGAGAATCACTTGAACCCAGGAGGTGGAGGTTGCAGTGAGCCGAGATTGTGCCACTGCACTCCAGCCTAGGTGACAGAGTGAGACTCTGTCTCAAATAAAATAAAATAAAATAAAATGACAGATAGAAAAGATTAGAGAAAAAAGAACAAAAAGGCATGAACAAAACCTCCCAGAAATATGGGATTATATAAAAAGATCGAACCTATGACTGATTGGGGTACCTGAAAGAGATGGGGAGACTGACACCAAGTTAGAAAATATACTTCAGGATATTATCTAGGAGAACTTCCCCAACCTAGCAAGACAGGCTAACATTCAAATTTAGGAAATTCAGAGAACCCCAGTAAGATACTCCATAAAAAGATCAACCCCAAGACACATACATAATCGTCAGATTCTCCAAGGTCAAAATGAAAGAAAAAATGTTAAGAGCAGCCAGGGAAAAAGACCAAGTCACCTACAAAGGGAAGCCCATCAGACTAACAGCATACCTTTCAGCAGAAATCCTAAAAACCAGAAGAGACTGGGGGCCAATGTTCAACATTCTTAAAAGAATTTCCAACCTAGAATTTCATATCTGGCCAAACTAAGTTTCACAAGTGAAGGAGAAATGAGATCCTTTTCAGACAAACAAATGCAGAGGGAATTTGTCACCACCAGGCCTGCCTTGCAACAGGTCCTGAAGAAAGCACTAAATATGGAAAGGAAAAACCATTAGCAGCCACTACAAAAACACACTGAAGTACACAGACCAGTGACACTATGAAGTAACTACATAAACAAGTCTGCAAAATAACCAGCCAGCATCATGATGACAGAATCAAATTCACACATAACAATACTAACCTTAAACGCAAATGGTCTAGATGTCCCAATTAAAAGACACAGAATGGCAAGCTGGATAAAGAACCAAGACCCCAATATCAGTATGATATTGGTTGGGAGATTGTAATATATGGCTCTTATTATTTTGAGGTATATTCCTTCAATAACTAGTTTATTGAGAATTTTTAACATGAAGAGATGTTGAACTTTATCAAAGGCCTGTTCTACATCTATTGAAATAATTATGTGATTTTTGTCTTTAGTTCTTTGCATGTGATGAGCCACATTTATTGATTTGCACGTGTTGAACCAACCTTGCATCACAGGGATGAAGCCAACTTGATCATGGTGGATAAGCCTTTTGATATGCTGCTGGATTTGATTTGCCAGCATTGAGGATTTTTGCCTCAACAGTCATCAGAGATAGTGGCCTGAAGTTTTCATTTTTTGTTGTATCTCTGCCAGGTTTTGGTATCAAAATGATGCTGGCCTCATAAAATGAGTTAGGGTGGAGACCCTCCTTTTCAATTTTTTGGAATAATTTCAGTAGAAATGGTACCAGTTCTTCCTTGTACCTCTGGAATTAAGCTGTAAATTTGTCTGGTCCTGGGCTTTTTTTTGGTTGTTAGGCTATTTATTACTATCTCAATTTCAGGACTCATTATTGGCCTATTCAGGGATTCAATTTCTTCCTAGTTCAGTCTTGGGAGGGTGTACCTATCCAGGAATTTATCCATTTCTTCTAGATTTTCTAGTTCATGTGCATAGAGGTGTTTATAGTATTCTCTGATGGTTGTTTGTATTTTTGTGGGGTCAGTGGTGATATTCCCCTTACAATTTTAGATTGTATTTATCTGATTCTTCTCTCTTTTCTTCTTTACTAGTCTAGTTAGCAGTCTATCTATTTTATTAATTTTTTCAAAAAACCACGTCCTGGAGTTGTTGATTTTTTGAAGGGATTTTCATGTCTCTTTCCTCCTTCAGTTCTGCTCTGATCTCAGTTATTTCTTGTCTTCTGCTAGCTTTGGTGTCTGTTTGCTCTTGGTTTCTAGTTCTTTTGGTTGTGATGTTAGGTTGTTAACTTGAGATCTAACTTTTTGATGTGGGCATTTAGTGCTATAAATTCCCCTCTTAACACTGCCTTTATCTGCCCTCAGAGATTCTGATACATTGTCTCTTTGTTCTCATTAGTTTCAAAGAACTTCTTGAGTTCTGCCTTACTTTTATTATTTACCCAGCAGTCATTCAGGAGCAGGTTGCTCAATTTCCATGTAGTTGTGTGGTTTTGAGTGAATTTCTTAATCTTAAATTCTAATTTGATTGTATTGTGATTTGAGAGACTGTTTGTTATGATTTCAGTCCTTTTGCGTTTGCTGAGGAGTGTTTGACTTCCGATTATGTGATTAATTTTTGAGTAAGTGCCATGAGGCAATGAGAATGTATATTTTGTTGCTGGGGGGTAGAGAGTTCTGTAGATATCTATCAGATCCACTTGATCCAGAGCTGAGTTCAGGTACTGAATGTCTTTGTTAATTTTCTGTCTCAATGATCTGTCTAATACTGTCAGTGGAGTGTTAAAATCTTCCACTATTATTGTGTGGGAGTCTAAGTCTCTTTATAGGTCTCTAAGAACTGCTATGAATCTGGGTGCTCCTTTATGGTGTGACTATATATTTAGGATAGTTAGCTCTTGTTGAATTGAAACATTTACCATTATGTAATGCTCTTGTCATTTTTTAATCTTTGTTGGTTTAAAGTCTGTTTTGTCAGAAGCTAGGATTGTGACCTTTGCTTTTTTCTGTTTTTCATCTGCTTGGTAAATTATCCTTCATCCCTTTGTTTTGAGCCTATGTGTGTCTTTGCATGTGAGATGGATCTCTTAAAGACAGCATACTGATGGGTCTTTCAAGCATTTCCCTTGAAAACTGGCATAAGACAAGTTGTCATGTCTCTATCCTCCTTCAGTCTCTCACCACACCTATCCAACATAGTATTGGAAGTTCTGGCCAGGACAATCAGGCAAAAGAAAGAAAGAAATAGTATTCAGATAGGAAGAGAGGAATTCCGACTATGTTTGTTTGCAGATGACATGATCCTGTGTCTAGAAAACCTGATAATCTCATCCCAAAAGCTTCTTAAGTTGATAAGCAACTTCAGCAAAGTCTCAGGATACAAAATCAATGTGCAAAAAAGCTAGCATTCCTATACATCAACAGCAGGCAAGCAGAGAGTCAAATCATGAATGGAACTCCCAATCACAATTGTTACAAAAAGAATAAAGTACCTAGAAATACAGCTAACAAAGAATATGAAGGACCTCTTCAAGGAGAACTACAAACTACTGCTCGGGGAAATCAGAGAGGACACAAACAAATGGAAAAACATTCCATGCTCATGGATAGGAAGAATCAATATTGTGAAAATGGCCATATCAGCAAAAGTAATTTATTGATGCAGTGTTCTTCCTATTAAACTGCCATTGACATTCTTCACAGATTTAGAATGGAAACTATTTTTAAAAAGAGCCCAAACAGTTAAGACAATCCTAAGGAAAAAGAACAAAGCTGAAGGCATCATGCTACTTGACCTCAAACTATGCCACAAGGCTACACTAACCTAAACAGCACGGTAGTGGTACAAAAACAGACACATAGACCAATGGAATAGAATAGAGAACTCAGAAATAAGACCGCACACCTACAACCATCTGATCTTGGACAAACCCAACAAAAACAAGCAATGGGGAAAGGATTCCCTATTTAATAAATGGTGCTTGGAGAACTGGCTATCTCATATGCAGAAAATGGACACTGGATGCTTTCCTTACACCTTATACAGAGGTTAACAAAAGATGGATTAAAAACTTTAATGTAAAATCCAAAACTATAAAAACCCTGGAAGATAATCTAGGCCATACCATTCAGGACATAGGCACAGGCAATGATTTTGTGACAAATATGCCAAAAGCAATTGCAACAAAAGCAAAAATTGGCAAATGGGATCTAACTAAACTAAGGAGCTTCTGCATGGCGAAAGAAACTATCATCAGAGTGCACAGGCAACCTACAGAATGGGAGAAAAATTCTGCAATCTATCCATCTGACCAAGGTCTAATATTCAGAGTCTACAAGGAACTTAAACAAATTTACAAGAAAAAAGCAAACAACCCTATTAAAAAGTGGGCAAAGGACATGAACAGATACTTCTCAAAAGCAGACATACATGAGGCTGATGAACATATGAAAAAAAGCTCAACATCACTGATCATTAGAGAAATGCAAATCAAAATCACGCTGAGATACCAACTTGCACCAGTTAGAATGGCAATTACTAAAAAGTCAAAAAACGACATGCTGGTGAGATTGCAGAGAAAAAAAAGCTTTTACACTCTTGGTGGGTGTGTAAATTTGTTCCAACATTGTGGAAGACAGTGTGGCAATTCTTCAAAGACGTAGAACCAGAAATACCATTTGACCCAGCAATCCCATTACTGGATGTATACCCCAAGGAATATAAATCATTCTATTAGAAAGATACATGAACGCGTTTGTTTACTGCAGCACTATTCACAGTAGCAAAGACATGGACTCAACCCACATGCCCATCAGTGATAAACTGGATAAAGAAAATGTGGTACATTTAAACCATGGAATACTATTCAGTCATAAAAAGGAATGAGATCATGTCCTTTGCAGGGACATGGATAGAGCCGGAAGCCATTATCCTGAGAAAACTAACACAGGAACAGAAAACCAAACACCACATGTTTTCATTTATATGTAGAAGCTGAATGATAAAAACAGACGGACACATAGTGGGAACAACCCACCCTGGGGCCAGTCAGGGGTGGGAGTCGGAGAGGGAGGCCATCAGGAAGAATAGCTAATAGATGCTTGGCTTAATACCTAGGTGATGGGGTGACCTGTGCAGCAAACTACCATGGCATATGTTTACATAAGTAACAGACCTGCACATCCTGCACATGTACTCCTGAACTTAAAATAAAAGTTGAAATTTTTTTTTAAAAAAGAAAGAAAGAAGACCCAACTATATGCTGCCTTCAAGAAACTCATTTCACCTATAAAGATACACATGGACTGAAAGGGGTGGAAAAAGATATTCCATGCAACTAGAGCACCCTGCCCCTTCAAATAAAAGAGCAGCAGTAACTATACTTATATTAGATAAAAGAGTCTACAAATCAAAGACCTTCAAAAAAAAAAAAAAAAAGACAAGGAAAGGCATTATATAATGACAAAGGTTTCAATTCAGCAAGACAATATAACCATTATAAATATCTATGCACTGAACACTAGTGCTCCAAAATATATAAAACAAACATTAATAGACCTAAAGAAAGAGACAGACTGCAACACAATAATAGTAGTGGACTTTAATATCCCATTCGCAGTCATGAACAGATCATCCAGACAGAACGTTAATAAAGAAACAGTAAAGTTAAACTATACACTAGATCTAACAGGCCTAACTGACATTTATAAACATTTCACCCAACTGCTTCAGAATACACATTCTTTTCAACAGCACATGGAACATTTTCCATAATAGACCATATCTTAGGCTACAAAACATGTTTGTACAAATTCTGAAAAACAAATAATATCAAGTATCTTCTTGGATCACAATGGAATAAAACTAGAAATCAATAACAAGAGGAACCTTGGAAAATACACAAGCATATGGAAATTAAACAACATGATCCTGAATGACCAGTGGGTCAATGAAGAAGGGAATTAAAAAATTTATTGAAACAAATGAAAATGGAAATAAACCATACCAAAATCTATGGGATTATGGCAGAAGCAGTACCAACAGGAAAGTTTATTGCAATAAATGCCTATGTCAAAAAAGTTGAAAGTCTTCAAAATAAACACCCTAATGATGTGCCTTAAGCAACAAGAAATGTAAAAACAAGCCAAGCCCTAAATTAGTAGAAGGAAAGAAATAATAAATATCAGAGCAGAAATAAATGAAATTCAGACTAAAAAACAGAAGATCAACAAAACAAAAAGTTGCTTTTTCAAAATATAAACAAAATTGACAAACCTTTAGCTGGGCTAAGAAAGAAAAAGAGAAGACCTAAAAAATGAAATCAAAAATGAAAAAGAAGATGTAATAACTGAGACCTCAGAAATACAAAGAATTATTGAGACTATTATGAACTATACTCTAATAAATTGGAAAACCTAGAAGACATGGATAATGTCTTCTCGAATGCATACAACCTACAAAGATTGAATCATGAAGAAATAGAAAACCTCAACAAACCCAATAACAAGTAATGAAATAGAAGCTGTAAAAAACATGTCCCATAAAAGAAAAGCCCAGTACCTGATGAATTCACTGCTGAATTCTACCAAACATTAAAAAAGAACTAATACCAACTACTTAAACCCTTTAAAAAAATTGAAGAGGAAGGAATACTTCCAAACTCATTCTACAAGGCCAGCATTATTACCCTGATACCAAAACAAAGCAAGGCAAAAAAAAAAAAAAAAAAAAAAGGAAAAGAAAACTACAGGCTACGCTCACTGATGAATATAGATGCAAAAATCTTCAACAAAATACTAACAAACTAAATGTAACAACACATTAAAAAGATCATTCACCATTATCAGGTGGGATTCATCTCAGGGATGCAAGGATGGCTCAACATATGCAGATCAATAAACATGTTATACAATATTAACAGAATCAAGAACAAAAACCATATGATTATTTCAATAGATGCCAAAAAGGCATTTGATAAAATTCAGTATCCTTAATGAAAACTCATCAAAATGGGTATAGAAGGAACATACCTCAAGATAATAAAGGCCAACTGTGACAAACCTATGACTAGCAGCATAATGAATAGGGAAAAATTGAAGGCCTTTGCTTTAAAGACTGGAACAAGACAAGAATGCCCACTTTTACTGCTGTTTTTCAATATAGTAGTGGAAGTAATGTCTGGAGCAATTAGACAAGAGAAAGAAAGAAAGGGCATCCAAATTGAAAAGGTAGGAGCAAAATAAGCCTTGTTTGCAGACACTGTGATCCTATGCTTAGAAAAACCCAAAGTTTCCCCAAAAAACTGTTAAGAGCTAATAAATGAATTCAGTTAAGTTGCAGAATACAAAGTCAACATACAAAAATCAATAGCATTTATATATGTCAACAGCAAACAATTTGAAAAAGAAATCAAGAAGGCAATCCTGTTACAATAGCTACAAAAAGTATAAAATACCTAGGAATCAATCTAACCAAAGAAGTGAAAGATCTATGCAAGGAAAACTATAAACCTCTGATGAAAGAAATAGAAAAAGACACACAGAAAAAAGGAAATTTATTCTATGCTCATGGATTGGAATAATTAATATTGTTAAAATGACAATACATGGGAGGTTCCAAGATGGCCTAATAGGAACAGCTCCAGTCTACAGCTCCCAGTGTGAGCGACACCGAAGATGGGTGATTTCTGCATTTCCAACTGAGGTACTGTGTTCATCTCACTGGGGCTTGTCGGACAATAGGTGCAGCCCACGGAGCATGAGCCAAAGCAGGACAGGGCATTGCCTCACCCGGGAAGTGCAAAGGGTGGGGAAATTCCCTTTCCTAGCCAAGGGAAGCCATGACAGGCAGTACCTGGAAAATCGGGACACTCTCAGCCTAATACTGTGCTTTTCCAATGGTCTTAGCAAACGGCACAACAGGAGATTATATCCCGCGCATGGCTTGGAGGATCCCATGCCCACGGAGCCTCACTCACTGCCAGCACAGCAGTCTGAGATCGAACTGCAAGGCAGCAGCGAGGCTAGGGGAGGGGCATCCGCCATTGCTGAGGCTTGAATAGGTAAACAAAGAAGCTGGGAAGCTCGAACTCAGTGGAGCCCACCACAGCTCAAGGAGGCCTGCCTGCCTCTGTAGACTCCACCTCTGGGGGCAGGGCATAGCTGAACAACAGGCAGCAGAAACTTCTGCAGACTTAAACGTCCCTATCTGACAGCTTTGAAGAGAGTAGTGCTTCTCCCAGCATGGAGTTTGAGATCTGAGAACGGACAGACTGCCTCCTCAAGTGGGTCCCTGACCCCCAAGTAGCCTAACTGGGAGGCACGTCCCAGTAGGGGCTGACTGACACCTCATACAGCTGGGTGCCCCTCTGAGACGAAGGTTCCAGAGGAAGGATCAAGCAGCAACATTTGCCGTTCTGCAATCTTTGCTGTTCTGCAGCCTCCGCTGGTGATACCCAGGCAAACAGGGTCTGGAGTGGACCTCCAGCAAACTCCAACAGACCTGCAGCTGAGGGTCCTGACCGTTAGAAAGAAAACTAACAAACAGAAAGGACATCCATACCAAAACCCCATCTGTACATCACCATAATCAAAGACCAAAGGTAGATAAAACCACAAAGATGGGGAAAAAACAGAGCAGAAAAGCTGAAAATTCTAAAAATCTGAGTGCCTCTTCTCCTCCAAAGGAATGCAGCTCCTCGCCAGCAACAGAACAAAGCTGGATGGAGAATGACTTTGACAAGTTGAGAGAAGAATGCTTCAGATGATCAGTAATAATAAACTTATCCGAGCTAAAAGAGGGTGTTCGAACACATCACAAATAAGCTAAAAACCTTGAAAAAGGATTAGACGAATGGCTAACTAGAATAAAAGTATAGAGAAGTCCTTAAATGACCTGATGGAGCTGAAAACCATGGCAGGAGAACTGCGTGACATATGCACAAGCTTCAGTAGCTGATTTGATCAAGTGGAAGAAAGGGTATCAGTGATTGAACATCAAACGAATGAAATGAAGTGAGAAGTTTAGAGTAAAAAATGCATAAAGCCTCCAAAAAATATGGGACTATGTGAAAAGACCATATCTACGTGTGATTGGTGTACCTGAAAGTGACGGGGAGAATGGAACCAAGTTGGAAAATGCTCTTCAGGATATTATCCAGGAGAACTTCCCCAACCTAGCGAGGCAGGCAAACATTAAAATTCAGGAAATACAGAGAATGCCACGAAGATACTCCTCAAGAAGAGCAACTCAAAGACACATAATTGTCAGATTCACCAAAGTTGAAATGAAGGAAAAAATGTTAAGGGTAGTGAGAGAGAAAGGTCGGGTTACCCACAAAGGGAAGCCCATCAGACTAAAAGTGGATCTCTCAGCAGAAACTGTACGAGCCAGAAGAGAGTGGGGACCAATATTCAACATTCTTAAAGAAAACAATTTTCAACCCAGAATTTCATATCCAGCCAAACTAAGCTTCATAAGTGAAGGAGAAATAAAATCCTTTCAGACAAACAAATGCTGAGAGATTTTGTCACCACCAGGCCTGCCTTACAAGACCTCCTGAAGGAAGCACTAAACATGGAAAGGAACAACTGGTACCAGCCACTGCAAAAACATGCCAAATTGTAAAGACCATCAATACTAGGAAGAAACAGCATCAACTGATGAGCAAAATAACCAGCTAACATCATAATGACAGGATCAAATTCACACACAACAATATTAACCTTAAATATAAATGGGCTAAATGCTCCAATTAAAAGACACAGACTGGCAAATTGGATAAAGAGTTAAGACCCATTGGTGTGCTGTATTCAGGAGACCCATCTCACAGGCAGAGACACACATAGGCTCAAAATAAAGGGATGGAGGAAGATCTACCAAGGAAATGGAAAACAAAAAAATGCAGGGGTTGCAATCCTAGTCTGATAAAACAAGACTTTAAACCAACAAAGATCAGAATAGACAAAGAAGGCCATTATATAATGGTAAAGGGATCAATTCAACAAGAAGAGCTAACTATCCTACATATATATGCACCCAATACAGGAGCACCCAGATTCATAAAGCAAGTCCTTAGAGATGTACAAAGAGACTGAGACTCCTACACAATAATAATGGGAGACTTTAACACCCCACTGTCAACATTAGACAGATCAACGAGACAGAAAGTTAACAAGGATATCCAGGAATTGAACTCAGCTCTGCACCAAGTGGACCTAATAGACATCTACAGAACTCTCCACTGCAAATCAACAAAATGTACATTCTTCTCAGCACCACACCGCATTTATTCCAAAATGTACCACATAGTTGGAAGTAAAGCACTCCTCAGCAAATATAAAAGAACAGAAATTATAACTGTCTCTCAGACCACAGTGCAATCAAACTAGAACTCAGGATTCAGAAACTCACTCAAAACCGCTCAACTACATGGAAACTGAACAACCTGCTCCTGAATGACTACTGGGTACATAACAAAATGGAGGCAGAAATAAAGATGTTCTTTGAAACCAATGAGAACAAAGGCACAACATACCAGAATCTCTGGGACACATTTAAAGCAGTGTGTAGAAGGAAATTTATAGCACTAAATGTACACAGGAGAAAGCAGGAAACATCTAAAATAGACACCCTAACATCACAATTAAAAGAACGAGAGAAGCAAGAGCAAACACGTTCAAAAGCTAGCAGAAGGCAAGAAATAACTAAGATAAGAGCAGAAATGAAGGAGATAGAGACACAAAAAACCCTTCAAAAAAATCAATGAATCCAGGAGCTGTTTTTTCAAAAGATCAACAAAACTGATAGGCCACTAGCAAGACTAATAAAGAAGAAAAGAGAGAAGAATCAAATAGACTCAATAAAAAATGATAAACAGGATATCACCACCGATCCCACAGAAATACAAACTACTGTCAGAGAATACTATAAACACCTCTATGCAAATAAACTAGAAAATCTAGAAGAAATGGATAAATTCCTGGACACACACACCCTCCCAAGACTAAACCAGGAAGAAGTTGAATCCCTGAATAGACCAATAAAAGGGTCTGAAATTGAGGCAATAATTAATAGCCTACCAACCAAAAAAAGTCCAAGACCAGAAGGATTCGCAGCCAAATTCTACCAGAGGTACAAAGAGGAGCTGGTACCATTCCTTCTGAAACTATTCCAATCAATAGAAAAAGAGGGAATCCTCCCTAACTCATTTTATGAGGCCAGCATCATCCCGATACGAAAGCCTGGCAGAGACACAACAAAAAAGAGAATTTTAGACCAATATCCCTGATGAACATTGATGCAAAAATCCTCAATAAAATACTGGCAAACCGAATCCAGCAGCACATCAAAAAGCTTATCCACCACGATTAAGTCGGCTTCATCACTGGGATGCAAGTCTGGTTCAACATTCGTAAATCAATAAATGTAATCCATCATATAAACAGAACCAAGGACAAAAACTACATGATTATCTCAATAGATGCATAGAAGGCCTTCGACAAAATTCAGCCCTTCATGCTAAAAACTGTCAATAAACTAGGTACTGATGGGACGTATCTCAAAATAATAAGAGCTATTTATGACAGACCCACAGCCAATATCATACTGAATGGGCAAAATCTGGAAGCATTCCCTTTGAAAACTGGCACAAGATAGGGATGCCCTCTCTCACCACTCCTATTCAACATAGTGTTGGAAGTTCTGGCCAGGGCAATCAGGCAAGAGAAAGAAATAAAGCGTATTCAGTTAGGAAAAGAGGAAGTCAAATTGTCCCGGTTTGCAGATGACATGATTGTATATTTGGAAAACCCCATTGTCTCATCCCCAAATCTCCGTAAGCTGATAAGCAACTTCAGCAAAGTCGCAGGATACAAAATCAATGTGCAAAAATTACAAACATTCCTATACACCAATAACAGATAAACAGAGAGCCAAATTGTGAGTGAACCCCCATTCACAATTGCTTCAGAGAAAATAAAATACCTAGGAATCTAACTTACAAGGGATGTGAAGGCCCTCTTCAAGGAGAACTACAAACCACTGCTAAAAGAAATAAAAGAGGACACAAACAAATGGAAGAACATTCCATGCTCATGGATAGGAAGAATCAATATTGTGAAAATGGCCATACTGCCCAATGTAATTTATAGATTCAATGCCATCCCCATCAAGCTACCAACGACTTTCTTCACAGAATTGGAAAAAACTACTTTAAAGTTCATATGGAACCAAAAAAGAGCCCGCATTGCCAAGTCAATCCTAAGCCAAAAGAACAAAGCTGGAGGCATCACGCTACCTGACTTCAAACTATACTACAAGGCTACAGTAACCAAAACAGCATAGTACTGGTACCAAAACAGAGATATAGACCAATGGAACAGAATAGAGCCCCTGGAAACAATACCACACATCTACAACCATCTGATCTTTGATAAACCAGACAAAAACAAGCAATGGGGAAAGGATTCCCTATTTAATAAATGGTGCTGGGAAAACTGGCTGGCCATATGGAGAAAGCTGAAACTGGATCCCTTCCTTACATCTTATACAAAAATTAATTCAAGATAGATTAAAGACTTAAATTTAGACCTAAAACCATAAAAACCCTAGAAGAAAACCTAGACAATACCATTCAGGACATAGACATGGACAAGGACTTCATGACTAAAACACCAACAGCAATGGCAACAAAAGCCAAAATTGACAAATGGGATCTAATGAAAGTAAAGAGCTTCTGCACAGCGAAAGAAACTACCATCAGAGTGAACAGGCAACCTGCAGAATGGGAGGAAATTTTTACAATCTACCTATCGGACAAAGGGCTAATATCCAGAATCTACAAAGAACCTAAACAAATTTTCAAGAAAAAATCAAAGAACCCCATCAAAAAGTGGGCAAAGGATATGAACAGACACTTCTCAAAAGAAGACATTTATGCAGCCAACAGACACATGAAAAAATGCTCATTATCACTGGCCATCAGAGAAATGCAAATCAAAACCACAATGAGATACCATCTCACACCAGTTAGAATGGCGATCATTAAAAAGTCAGGAAACAACAGGTGCTGGAGAGGATATGGAGAAATAGGAACGCTTTTACCCTGTTGGTGGGACTGTAAACTAGTTCAACCATTGTGGAAGACAGTGTGGCAATTCCTCAAGGATCTAGAACTAGAAATACCGTTTGACCCAGCCATCCCATTACTGGACATATACCCAAAGGATTATAAACCAAGCTGTTATAAAGACACATGCACACATATGTTTATTGTGGCACTATTCACAATAGCAAAGACTTGGAACCAACCCGAATGTCCATCATTGATAGACTGGATTAAGAAAATGTGGCACATATACACCATGGAATACTATGCAGCCATAAAAAAGGATGAGTTCATGTCCTTTGTAGGGACATGGATGGAGCTGGAAACCATCATTCTGAGCAAACTATCGCAAGGACAGAAAACCAAACACCACATGTTCTCACTCATAGGTGGGAATTGAGCAATGAAAACACTTGGACACAGGGTAGGGAACATCCCACACCAGGGCCTGTCGTGGGGTTGGGGGAGTGGGGAGGGATAGCATTAGGAGATATACCTAATGTAAATGACAAGTTAACGGGTGCAGCACACCAACATGGCGCATGTATACATATGTAACAAACTTGCACGTTGTGCACATGTACCCTAGAACTTAAAGTATATATATAAAAATAATAATAAAGTACATGAAGCCACAGAAGGCAAAAAAAAAAAGAGGCAAAGAGTAACTTTACAACAGAAAAATCTGGCAAACACCACTTTAATCAAGTGATCACAGTGAATAGGACAAATTAAAATTGTGTGACAGATACATGGAGAATGCAACATCCAGCTTTGCAATATACCTCCCCAAAATGCACAACCTGAGTCTATTCATAAGATGTCACCAGATGAACCCAACTTGAAGGACATTCTACAAATTAACTGGTCCGTAATCTTCAGAAGAGTCAAAGTCATCAATGTGAAGGAATCATCATGCCCTTTGGCTTCTCTGGTCTGGAAGATTCCTCAGTCTGGAGGAGGAATCTTCTAGACTGGAAGAGCTAAAGGGACATGACCACTAATGCCTCTTAGCAATGCATGATCCTGGCTGAATCCTTTTGCTATAGCAGACATTATGAGAACAATAGGTGAACCCTGAGTTGAGGCTAAGGATTAAATGTTGCTATGGACTGAATGCTGATGTGCCCCCAAAATTCATATATTAAAGCCCTAACCCCTAATGTAATGGTATTATTAGGAGTTGGGGTCTTGGGAGGTGATTATGTTTAGATGAGGTCATCAGGATGGGGTCCTTGTGATGGGACCAGTACCCTTATAGAGGAGTATAGAAGAGACCAGGAGTTTTTGTGCCCTCTTCACATCCAACCCTTCCCACCAGAGCCATGTTAGGATACAGTAAGACAACTATCTGCAAGCCAGGAAGATGGTCCTCACCAGGAACTGAATCAGTTGGCATTTTGATCTTGTACTTTCAGCCTCAGAATTGTGAGAAATAAATATCTGTTGTTAAAAAAAATGACAATACTACCCAGAGCAATTTACATATTCAGTGCAATCCCTATCAATATACCTAAAACATTCTTCACAGAAATAAAAAAACAAATCCTAAAATGTTCCCGAATAGCCAAAGCAATCCTGAGCAAAAAGAACAAAGCTGGAGACATCACACAATGTGACTTCAAATTTTATTACAAAGCTATAGTAACCAAAACGCCATGGAGCTGGCATTAAAAACAGACACATAGACCAATGTGACAGAATAGATAACCCAGATATAAATCCATGCATTTACAGTCAATTCATCTTTGACAAAAGCACCAAGAACTTACAATAAGAAAATGACAGCCTTGTTAATAAATAGTTCTGGGAAAAGTGGATAACTCTGTATATGAGAATGAAAATTGACTTCTGTCTCTCACTATATACAAAATAAAAATGGATTGAAGACTTGAATCTAAGACCTGAAACTATGAAACTACTAGAAGAAAGCATTGGTGAAATCCTCCAAGACATTGATTTGGGCAAATATTGTGTAAGACATCAAAAGCACAGGCAACCAAAGCAAAAATGGATAAATGGGATTACATCAAGCTGAAAAGCTTCCGTACAGCAAAGTAAATAATCAACAAAGTAAAGCTACAACCCACAGAATGGGAGAAAATATTTGCAATCAATCCATCTGACAAGGGATTAGTAATCAGAACACATAAGAGCTCAAACAACTTAACAGCAAAAAATAAATAAATAATCAAATTTTAAAACTGT
This sequence comes from Homo sapiens, assembly GCF_000001405.40. Classification (NCBI taxonomy): domain Eukaryota; kingdom Metazoa; phylum Chordata; class Mammalia; order Primates; family Hominidae; genus Homo; species Homo sapiens. The sequence goes on along the minus strand of NC_000014.9, from coordinate 60,035,174 downwards.
TAAAAGATCTGAAAAGACATTTATCAAAAGAAGACATACAAATGGCCAACAGGTTTACAAAAAAAAAAAAATGCTCAAAGTCACTAATAATCAGAGAAATGCAAACCAAACCACAATGTGGTATCATTTTACCCCAGTTAAAATGGCTTATATCAAAAATACAGGCAATAACAGATGCTGGTAAGGATGTGGAGAAAGGGGAACCTGTGTACACTGTTGGTGGGAATGTAAATTACCATTATGGTAAACAGTATGGAGGTTCCTTAAAAAACTAACAATAGAACTTCCATGTGATCCAGCCATTCCACTACTGGGTATGTATCTAAAAGGAAGGAAATCAATACATCAAAGAGATACCTGCACTCCTATGTTTATTGCAGCATTATTCATAATAGCCAAAATATGGAATCAACCTAAGTGCCCATCAGCGGATGAATGGATAAAGAAAATATAGTATAGCTACACAATGGAACATTATTCAGCCATAAAAAGAATGAAATCCTGTTATTTGCAGCAATATGGATGGAATTGGAAACCATTATGTTAAGTAAAATAAGCCAGGCACAGAAAGACAAATATCACATGTCCTCACTCATATGTGGGAGCTAAAAAAGTGGATCTCATGAAGACAAAGACTAGATTGGTGGTTACCAGAGTCTGGGACGGGGAGCGGGGATGAGAGATGGGAATGAAAGGAATAATAAAGAATATAAATATATTTATTTCCACTAAACTGGACATTTAAAAATGTAAAGATGGTAAATTGTATATGTATGTTTTACATCAATACAAATTTTTAAAAATAAATGAAAAACAATTCATGAAAGTACTATGACAGCAATACATTAAAAATTTACAGGCTGAGCACGGTGGCTCACTCCTGTAATCCCAGCACTTTGGGAGGCCGAGGCAGGTGGATCATGAGGTCAGGAGATTAAGACCATGCTGGCCAACATGGTGAAACTCTGTCTCTACTAAAAATACAAAAAATTAGCCAGGCATGGAGGCACGCGTCTGTAGTCTCAGCTACTCGGGAGGCTGAGGAAGAATTGCTTGAACCCAGGAGGCAGAGGCTGCAGTGAGCTGAGATTGTGCCACTGCACTCCATCTTGGGTGACAGAGAGAGACTCTGTCTCAAAAAAAAAAAAAAAAAAAAAAAGAAAGAAAAAATTACATAAAAAGGCCAATTTTCTAGATAATACAACTTCTCAGAATAACTTTTTAAGAAATACAAACGTGACTAGCTTTATAGCCATTAAAGAATTTAAGTAGTTTAAAATATAACCTCAAAAAATATTAAGCCCAGAGTTCTAGAGATAAGGTTTAATTATCCTTCCAGAAGAATATGAGACATTGAGTATCAAAACTCCATAGATTGGAGAAAGAGGGAATGCTCCCAAATTATTTTATGAAGCAAGTAAAACTTTGAGAGAGTTGAAAAGAATACTAAAAGAAGATAAAATTATAGGATAATTTTACTTATTTCCATGGATACAGATATGCTACATAAAATATTAGCAAATTGAATCCAATAAAATATAAAACATGACCAAGAAGTATTCATCCCAGGAATTTCAAGATGGTTTAACACTAGTCTATTAACGTAATTTACCATATTAACAGATTAAAGAGAAAAACTATATTACCAATTACTGAAAAGGCAATGCCCATTCAAGACAAAACCGGTAGGAAACTGGAACTAGAAAGGAATTTCCCTAAACTTTTATAGGTTATCTTCCCATAACCTACTGAAAACATCATATTAAGTAGTGACAACTTTAAAGCATTCTTTTGAAATTAGTAACTTACTATAAGTACTTCTAATTCAACACTGTACTAGGGGTCCTAGATAGCACACTAAGAGAAGCAAAGGAAATTAAAAATATGAGAATTGGAAAGAAATGATAGTCAAATTTGCAGATAATAATCTATACAGAAAATCCAAAAAAATTTACAAACCATTAGAATTAAAAAGAGGGTTCAGCAAGATTCCTAGATGAAAAGCAATATACAAAAATCAGAATGTATACACTCCAGCAACAAACAATTAGGAAAATATAAAAAAGACACTATTTTAAAAAGCAATTAAAACAACAATAAATCTAACCAAAGATGATTAAAATCTTTATGGAGAAAATTACAAATATTTATTCAAAGACATGAAATAAATGGAGTGATATATATGTTTATGAATGCGAAGGTTGAATACTATAAATATTAGGGGATACTGTTTATTGCTATTTCCTTCTTGGTGGAAGTAGCTCTATGATGTGGCCCTCCTGGGTTTTCTCAACCCCTTCACTTCCTCTCTACTAGGGGAAGTGGAGTGATTTAACTCCCTTCTTGGGAAGAAAGTGTTCTGGAAGAATGTGTTTTGCTCTCCAAGAGAAGCTCTCCTCCTGTGCGGAAAAAGCTCAGTGTAGTATTTTCTATATCTGGGTGATCATGATTGACTATTTCTGAGATCTGATAACATGCTCCTTTGACTTCTCACTAAGCTAAGCTGATATTTTTGCCTCTCCATTGTCATATTTCTCAATCTGTTTAGAAATTGGGTGAACAAGGGTGCTACTTATTGGGTTCCCTCAAAGATTCCAACAGGAAAGGTTGCAAATGTCTCCCCAAACTAATTTATAAATTGAATGTCATTCCAATTAAAATATCAACAAGATTCTCATGTAACTTGAGGAGTTAGTTCCTAAAATTTATAGAAAAGTGTAAAGGGCCAAGAATAGCCAAGGCAGTGAAGAAAGAGAAAGAAATAATGAGAAAGAGAAGGAGGTGAAAGAGGAAGAATTAAAGGTGCTTATTCTACCAGACATCAAGGCTTACTACAAAACATCAATTAATTAACACTATATAATATTGGCACAGGGATAGAAAAATAGGCCAAGGAATACAATGTTGAAACCTGAAACAGACCTTCTTATTTATACATGACAATAACAGTTTGCACTGTAATTAGTTGGAAGAAGTCAATAAATTTGGGCTGGGATGACTGGCTATGCATACAGAAGCATAAAACTAAATCCCTTTCTAATACCATATAAAAATAAATTTTATAAAACTACCAGTAAATTAACTAATAAATTAGAATGGTAACATACTCACTGGATTGCCATACACTGTAAGCTCCCTGAGAGTAGAGATAACGTCAAGTTTTTCCAGTTCTGTGATATCCTATTCAAAAGTTAATCAGTAAGTTATTATTTGGTTAGACTCAACATCTTAAAATATAGACTAATTTGAAGTAATTATATGTAAGTGTTAGTTTGCAGCTAGCTCATGATTGAATTCTCTGAAGTGAGCTTGAGTGACAGTATTCTGTATTCTTGAATAAAGGCAGAGCTGTGTACTGTAGATTTCAAATACATGACTGGCAAAGATAACAGCCTAACATGGAAAATTGGCTATATAGCAGCACTTGCAAGAAAAGATCAAATTTTTTTCTCAGAATTATGATTTATTCTAGGACTCATATTATATTTGGTTAATTCCTCCAGCACATTGACCAGAAAGTATGGAAAAGGTGAATCAAATCTAAAAATTTTAAAGGTACATAATTAAACACAGCCTTAACCATAAAGGAATGTGTAATATTGAGTGGATTGCGTCTTGATGTACTTGCTGGGAATATATATAGCTGAAAAACTATTTCTCATGTTAAATAATTTGCCTTCTCTATTGCATAGCATTATTTATTAGCTTCCATTTAACATTGGTGAAAGTTTGCAAATACATTTTAGTTTTTGCAAAATTATTTCTAAAATGCTATTTCTGACAAACTTTAGCCAACAAGCTCAGCCTAAGGTTGTTGCTAGTTCATATAACACAACAAAGTTATTGACATGCCTGTATTCCTTTGTGGAATTACAAGTGGACATATAGCAAATTCTTCTAGTAACTGTAAAAATATTTAGACCTATTTTAGATCATGTGGAAGTGAATTTGATTTTTAAAATGACTGATCTTTACTATTTTAATTTTGGAAGTATCATAAATGAGGGCTTTGAAAAATCTGTAAATCTATAGAGATATTGTGCATTTTTACCCACAAGCAGTTTCTATCTGTGGAACCAAAGCCTGATCAGTAATCATGGACATGCGAAAAGTCTTACATTATTTTCTCAAATTAAACCGAACACAACAGTAGTCACTAGTGAAATATTCCTAATCAAAATGTCTGTTTTTCACAGAAAATGTTAATATGGGAAATAGACTATTAAATCTGTAGAAGATAATGATGGCATAAACTTTTAAAGAGACATCAGGGAAACTAATATGTCCATAATTGTGGGGAAAGGGCTGATGGCTTCCCATTTTTAATATGCAGCATTTTTTTTTACAGTAGTGTGCTGCTACTGGCTCACAAAAAGTCAATTGGTAAATTTTTAGGAATTTTGTGAGATGGTGTGTTAGCCTGAAATTGGCTATGACAGAAGAAATTATACCACAGAAATTGGCAAATGTTACTAATTAGGGATTTTTTTCCTCTTGGAGAGCCAACTGTTAAGCATTAACCAGGATACCAATGGTTGTTGCAATGTCAGCATAAGTACCTAAAGCAGTTATAATAATAATTGTGCCTGGATTGGGGCCTTTGCTGAGGACAGGAAATAGCAATAGACTATTCTTGGGGTTATTTTCAGCTTCAGGTGATTAATTATATGTTTAAAAGTAGACAGAGTAGCTGGATGCCAGGTAGGGGAATCATTTACACACAGGGATCAAACAGGACTATCAAGGTGAATTAAATAATGAATCTTTCAATTGTGTTTCTGTGATTCTTCCTTTAGAAGCAAGACGATAGACAACAATTAGCTAAATCTACATTATTGGACATGATGGCTAAGTAAAAAACATCACACCAGAATCAAGGGTATGTATTATATTTTATCAAGGATATAGCTTCTGAAGGATGTTAAAGTAGGTCAATGAGGGGCTGCATATACCTTCACTTGAAATATTGTTCCTTTGTTAATTTTTCTAGGCTTTCTCCCATCTATCAATCTTTATCAACCCAAAGTTTGCAATCTGATTGTCCCTTTGTTGAAATTAATGCTGGTATCAGCCTGCCCATGTTGGTATGAATCTACAGATAGAATCTCTCTCAAAAATCAAATTTGAAGTGAGAGTTCAGAAGTTTGAAGACAATATGTTTTCAGTAGAATTCAACAGAATTTCCAACATAACCTTCCTATTCCTCTGAGTTCATTTTTTTTTCTCAGCTAAATGTATGGTCACATTAAGGTACTATAATATTAATGGTTAGAATAAGCTTAATGGCAAAATGATCAATCTAAATTCAATGGAAAATACCATTTCAAGGATAAAAACAAAGAAGAGCTGGTCATTAAATAATCAATAATGCTCACTTCTTCATTCAATGATATGTAGAATCTCTCATGATATATAATTTGTCATTTAGCTATATTAGATTTTGAAAATAAATAAGCTTGACTAAGTATGGTTGTTATACCAGCTGATCTCTATCCATTCATTTGCTTAAGAGGGATAGAGGAGTAGAGAGGTGGGGCAGGGACACTCTTGTGGAAAAGCAGATTACCAGGTCTAATCTGGTAACTGGACATCCTGTCAAATAAAGCAATGATACTTGCTAGGAAGAAGGTCCTCATTTATGATATTCTCTTAGCAGATCTTCTTGATTAAGGACTGCCTGTAATAAATAAACCTAGAATCTATAGAATTATAAGGCATGGATCCCTATAAAATGTCACGTAATTTCAAGTTTAAAATGGAGATGTTTCATAAATGAAACACTCCCCTACTATATAAGATCACCTCATGGAATCTCACTTGAAGACCTCACATTTTATTCTAAGCTCGATGGCGTGTGTGATGTGGGAAGGAAGGGCCTGAGAAGGCACTAGGCATGTCCTGGGCCCTGTGTGTCATTGAAATTATTTATAAAGCTTGATACCAGGTAAGATCTGTGATGACTGTTAAGTCTGATTTGACAGTCTTTTTTGCAGTTCAGTTGCTGTCACTGGAAAGATCTCCATAGAAGGGCAATTTTCCTAATTTAGATTTCTTCTGGATAAATCTTAGGAAGAATCATCCCCAGTTTTGGCAGGCTTTTCTCAGATGAATGTTTGAATCTGTATAAATTAGTTGTATACTATTTTTATCTGTATGTACATTCCCTAATTGCTTTGTAGAAAGGAGCATGGCTCATGATTTCCTTCTAACCTTGTCCAGGGCTTTAAAAAAATCTCCCCCAGAAAAGGCTTCCTGAACTCTATAGCAAACAGAGCCACAAACAAACATTTATGGAGTACCTATTATGTACCGGGTACTATGCTATATACTGATAGAAATGTGGACAAGATAGACTTGGTCTCTGCCCTTGGCGGGTAGTCCAGAGTTCAGTCTGTCTTTGAGGCTATCTTAGAGGTATTGGCAGAAGTAGAAAAGTTGGTAAAAGGAGAGCTAACAGACCACCACAGAAATGCTAAGAGAAATGTGAGGGCTGTATAAGGTTATGTCTTCAACTCTTATCTGTATGCTATCTCAGGAGAGAGTCTGAGCAGTTCAGTTGGGGCAGTGACCTAAAAGTAACAGGTTAAATTCTAAGCAGGTAAAACTAAGCCAGGATCCTATCTAAGGAAGCCTTGAGTGGGGAGAGATAAAATATTAAGCCAAGTCAAAGTCCATTATCAGGAGTTGATTCAAATGCCGGGTAGAACAAGTACATATGACAAGTTTAAGGGGCCAAAGGAAGTCCGGAATCGAGATTCAGAAACAACTTGGACCAAGAGCAGTCAAGGAACAAATGAGAACTCTCAGAGAGGACTGATGAGAAGAGCCTTAGAACACGTAGAACTAATCTTTGTTAATGAGCTTGTGCATGTTGCTTTGTCCAGTTCTGAAGTCTAGAAGTAGGGTGGATATTTCTGCATCACAGACTATTTCTATGACTTGAAATATAGATGGTATATAGGTGATAAATAATATACTAGCAACATTTTCATTGATGTGTTTGGAAGCTTTATGCTCAGAACTCAGAGAAACTAAAGCTTGTAAATCCCATAATAAAAAAATAATAATGTTACCTGGATTTTATTATATCCTAGGAAGAGTTTCTCTAGTTTTACCAAAGATTGTAATTTGCCCAGTTCTCGTAGTCTGTTTTCCTCCAAGTGAAGTGCCAATAAAGAACTTGGTTTGGCAAAAGCACTGTCATTAAATGATCGGATGCGGTTATGGTCCACTACCAATTCTTGAAGGACTACTAAGTTGTCAAGCCCTTCAACTTGGCTGATTTCATTACCTAAAAAGAGATAAGTCATGATATATCAAGTGAGCCCAAACTTCCTGAAGTAAAGGATATCTACTTACATTTAAATATTTTTTAATCAGATGATTTGTCAAAAGAAGTAAAGGATTCAAGAAACTTATTTCCAAAGAGAAATTGAAATGTAATTTACAGGAAGGTAGCATCATCATAAAATAATATTTGCTAAAATTTCTCATTTGTGAATTTGAAAGATCAGGATGTGATGTACAGAATGTACTGAATTGATCTAATATGTCTGTTTGGTAATTAAGTGTTAAAATAGTCGGTATTGACAAAAGTAGATATAGAAGACTGCTGCAGAAGATACGCTTCCTGAGTATATTAGTACTCTAATAGATATTACAATAGTATATTTAATTATTTCTTAAAATAGACTAATTTGTTGTATTATGTTAGAAGAATACACATTAATTATGCTGTTCTTTCTCATATTTTTGCACTGCAATCATATTAAACACATCAAAGTTCATTTAATTCTTCAAAACTCTAAACCTTATTTATAAACCTATGATTTCTCTCTATTGTAGCTATCAATAGCTATATAAATATTAATGATAACTTATATGAAGACTCTCCAATTTACAAAATGCTTTTATATGTACAGTATTTTCTATTAGAGTCTCAAAATACTACAGGGGAAATATTTTATCTCTTTTTTCTAATCAGAAAATTGAGGGTCAGAGAAATTAAGTGGCTTTCTCAAAGACATAAAAATGGCAGTATCAGGCCTAACTTAGACCTTTTACATTTTAAGCTCAATTATCTTTCTAGTATGCCATACTACATTTCAGTCAATATTCATTCTCCTTGATTATTATGTGCTGAATTGTGTCCCCCTCCAATTCATATGTGAAAATCCTAACCTCCAGTACCTCAAAATGTGACTGTATTTGGAGAAAGTGTCTTTAAAAAGATAATTAAGGTTAAATGAGGTCATTGGGATGAGCATTAATTTAATATGGCTAGTGTCCTCTTAAGAACTGGCATAAAGACAGACACATAGACCAAGGGAACAGAATAGAGAACTCAGAAATAAATCCACACATTTACAGTCAACTCATTTTTAACAAAGGTGCTAAGAACACACATTGGGGAAAAGACAGTCTCTTCAATAAATGGTGGGTGGAAAACTGGATATCCATATGCAGAAGAAATGAAACTTGACCCCTATCTCTCATCATATACAAAAATAAAATCAAAATGGACTTGACAAAGATTTCTTGTGTAATACCTCAAAAGCACAGGCAACCAAAGCAAAAATGGACAAATGGGACTGCATCAAGCTAAAAAGCTCCTGAACAGCAAAGGAAACAATCAACGAAGTGAAGAGATAGCTTACAGAATGGGAGAAAGTATTTGTAAACTACCCATATGACAAGGGATTAATAACCAGAATATATAAGGAGCCCAAACAACTCAACAGGAAAAAGGTCTGCATAGACATTTCTCAAAAGAAGAAATACAAATGGTCAACAGGTATATGGAAAAATGCTCAGCATTACTAATCATAAGGGAAATACAAATGAGATATCATCTCACCCCAGTAAAAATGGCTTTTATCCAAAAGACAGGCAATCATAAATGCTGACAAGGATATAGAGAAAGGGGTAGAATGTCTTCAAAGCTCTTCTCAGCCTTTCATTCATCTTTCTGTGTGCTTACTTTTAAGTAAGCACATACATTTTTGACTTCTCCTGTCACTTCCATTGTGATCATTCTAAAATAATGTATCTCTAGTCCTGACTTGTGGTCCAGTACTATTGCTAGAAAAAGTTTCTATTTTTAGTGCATCAAAATTGTTATAACACAAGCTGATCTTTCTCTACTCCCAAATGAGCAACATTTCCCAATGACTTTAGCTTTAGTACCTCCTCTTGCCCAATCTCCCAATGAAATTATAAAAACATCTGGGACAGTTTTTCTCTTTATTTTACATCTAATTAGCCACTAAGTCCTAATATTTATTCCTTTTAAACTGCCTTTTGGATTCACCTCTTACCACTCCCACTGCCAGCACTCTAGTCTATGCCCTTATTATACCATTCAAGCTGGATAGAAACTGCATGTGCTTTGGAGGTAGATAGATCTAGGTTTGACTTTGTACCATAACACACACTGGTGCAAACTTGGCAAATTATTAAACCACACTGAATGTCACTTTCTTTTTTTTTTTTTTTGTAAAATATATGTAACAATCCTTACCATGTAGAGTTGCTGTGAAGATTAAATATGACAATCTATGTAGACAAACACCTTGCCTAGTGACTCCATAAATGGCAGCTGTTATTGTCAGAGTAAACTGCCTCACTTCCTGAATAAGGCTGCCCTACTCTAATTTGCCATGCTCGCCATGGCATCAGAACATACTCCTCCATTACATTATTAGATTGAAATAGACCTTACAGGGTTAGGTGGTCTGCTTTTTTGTATGTCAGTGTATCTTTTAAAATATCTGGGCAGGGAGTGGTGGCTCACGCCTGTAATCCCACCATTTTGGGAGGCTGAGGTGAAAGGATCTCTTAAGGCCAGGAGTCTGAGACCAGCCTGGGTAACAAATTGAGACCCCTTATCAAAAAAAAAAGATAGAAAAATTAAAAAATTAGCCAGGCATGGTGGCACAAGCCTATAGTCCCAGCTACTCAGGAAGCTGAGGTGGGAGGATTACTTGGGCTCCGGAGGTTGAGGCTGCAGTGAGCTATGATTGTGCCAATGCACTCCAGCCTGGGTGATACAGAGAGACCCTTTCTCAAAAAATAATAAATAATAAAATAAAAAATAAAAAAAAAACCAAAAACAAAAAACCAACCGAAAAAAACACAAAAACAAAAATCAATCTGTCACAGCCATAAAAAAGAATGAAATCATGCCCTCTACCACAGCCTGGATGGAGCTGGAGGCCATTATCCTCAGTGAGCTAACTCAGAAACAGAAAATCAAATACTGCATGTTCTTACCTACACGTGGGAGCTAAGCAATAAGTACACAGTAAGTACGCTCCAACAATAAGTACACCGCAAAAAGGGGGAGAATGGGAGGGGGGTGAGGGTTGAAAAATTACCTATTGGATACTATATTCATTATTTGGGCAATGGGTACACTAGCAGCCCAATTCCCACTAGTACATAATACCATGTTAACAAACATACACATGTACCCCTTGAATCTAAAATAATTATTTTTTTAAAAAAAGATCTGTCATTGTGCTGAATTTCTTGTTTTTAAGGCCAGGTCTCCAGGTTCTTGATCCAAATCACAAGTGCTTTTGATAGATGCATTCAAATTTTTAAAAATATGGTCTAGAAAGGCCTGTCTTTGAGAAGTTACCATACTCAGATCAACTACCTCGATGTCTCCCCACATGTCCCACTGATGGATATACCTGCCTTTCTCCTATGCCATTAAAAATTATTGTTAGACTAATGTCCCAAGCCCTGTGTTTTTCTCACGCTACTTCTCTAAAAGTTTCAAGCTCCTATCTATTGTTGACTACATCCTGTACAAATTTCTCTGCTTGGCTTTCCCTACTTTGGTCCTGGCTCTATATTTTCAACCTCAATTTTTCACTATTCCACAAAATTTAAAAATTACTAATTGTTGGTGGGAGTGTAAATTAGTTCAAACATTGTGGAAGACAGTGTGGCAATTCCTCAAGGATCTAGAACCAGAAATACCGTTTGACCCAGCAACCCCATTACTGGGTATATACCCAAAGGATTATAAATCATTCTGCTATAGAGACACATGCACACATATGTTTATTGCAGCACTATTCACAATAGCAAAGACTTGGAACCAACCTAAATGCCCATCCATGTTAGACTGGATAAAGAAAATGTGGCACATATACACCATGGAATACTATGCAGCCATAAAAAAGAATGAGTTCATGTCCTTTGTGGCGACATGGATGAGCTGGAAACCATCATTCTCAGCAAACTAACACAGGAACAGAAAACCAAACACTGCATGTTCTCACTCATAAGTGGGAGTTGAACAGTGAGAGCACATGGACACAGGGAGGGGAACATCACACACTGGGGCCTGTCAGGGAGTAGGGGGACAAGGGAAGGGAAAGCATTAGGAGAAATACCTAATGTAGATGATGGGTTGTTGGGTGCAGCAAACCACCATGGCACATGTATACCTATGTAACAAACCTGCACATTCTGCACATGTATCCCAGAACTTGAAGTATAATAAAAAAATTACTGTAAAGTAATGAGGCTTATTTAAACAAAAACTAAATAAAATGATCTCATATATTGAAATGAGGATTATTTATCAAATTAATCATGTTTAGAGGATTTATAACTCTTAGAAAAGTGCATATTCTTTGTTCTCATCAGGTTGTTCCCTTTTCAAGTCTTGGCCCATAGACACCACAGTCATGTCCTGTGACTCTTTTCCTCCTCCCCCTGCTTGCAAAGCACTCAGTAATGCTCACCTTCAATCTAGATTCTATCACTCCTTTAAAGAGTTCTATACATGCCGACGAGCTAATCTTTTAATTTCTCTTCTCTCTGAACTTCTATTGCACTTAAGTTAGTAATACATAGTCTGAACTTCATCTTTGGCCCAGTACATCTCCACAGATAGATCTTAAGCTACTTAGATCAAGGATTTCAATGATACATAATTATAATAACATAGTACTTCCATATCTTTCATAGTACTTACCACAATTCTGGGTTTAATAAATACTTGTGAATTATCCACTGTTTTTTTTATTGTTTTTTAAGTTGAATACGATATACAAGTAAATTATGATGTAATACTATATATATTCTCAGAATACTGCATTGACCTTTAAAAATGGTTTCTAAAAAATGTAAGTAACCAAGAAAAATCAATTTGTGATTATTAAAATATTTTTGTCTATGAATGTTTGAGTAAATACTGATGCTTATATTTGCTTATCAAAACAGAATGATGATAAAATCAGTTTTTAAAAATAAAGACTTATACAGTAACAGTGTTTCTACTCACCCTGTAGAAAGAGGAATTTTAAATTTCTTAGTCTGTTAAGTTGTAGCTGGATCAAATTACAAATTCCATTGTAGCCCAAATGAAGAACTTCTAAACTGTGCATTATTGGAGGCAAATTTTCACTGCTCATTATATCTCTGAAACACATAGGTAAGTTTGAGGCCATAAACTTAACTTCAAACCAGCTATATTATAAAAAGACAGTTCAGTATGTGTTTACTATAAACTGAAGTTAAGAAAATATAAATTTATTAATATATCAGAATTAAGCTTAATACAGTCTGTTTATATTTTATATAATAATACTTATTCTTTAAAAAGAATGGTCTAGAATAAAGAAGTACATAAGGTGTTACAATGAAAAGCATTAGAAAATGCAATCAGGCAAGAAAAAAATGCATCCAGATTGGAAAGGAGTAAATAAAACTGTCTTTATTTTCAGATGACATGATCCTGTATTTAGAAAATCCTAAAAGATCCACCAAAAAACTACTTGAAGCAATAAAGGAGTTTAGCAAGGTCACAGGATAAAAGATTAATGTACAAAAATCAACTGAATTTTCTACCTACCAGCAATAAATAATCTGAAAATGAAATTAAGCAAAAATTCTTTTCACAAAGTATAAAAAAGAATAAAATACTTCAGCATAAATTTAATAAAAAGTGGAAAATCTGTACACAGAGAACTACAAAACATTACTGAGAGAAATTAACAAAGATCTAAATAAATAGAGAAATATTCTATGTGTATGGATTAGAAGATTCCATATTACTAAAATGGCAATTCTCCCAAATTGATCAATAGATTCATTTAATACAATCTCTATCAAAAGCCCAGAAGACATCCCCCCCACTCACTGCGAATAAACATCTTATCCTAAAATTTATAAAGAAATGCAAAGAATCTAGAATATTCAAAACAATCTTTTAAAAGAACAAAGTTGGAGAGCTTAAATCACTGATTTTAAAATTTTTTATAAAACCACAGTAATCAAACCAGTCTAGTACTGGCACAAAAGGACAGACATACAGATCAATGGAACAGAACTGAGTACATAAATAAACTCTTACATTTATGCTTAACTGATTTTTAGCAAAGGTGCCAAAACAATTCAATAGAGGAAAGGAGAGTGTTCTAAGGAAATGGTGCTCAGACAACTGAATATCCACATACAAAAATAGATTTAGACCTCACTCCTACCTCACAACATACACAAACATTAACTCAAAATAGACCATAGGACTCGATGTAAGAGTGAAAACATAAAACTTTTTAAAGAAAACAAGAGAACATCTTTGTGACCTTAGGTTAGGCAAAGAATTATTACATATAACACCTAAATTGCAATCTGTAAGAGAAAAGATGGTAAATTAGACTTTATCAAAATTAAAATTTCTTCAAAGACATCATTTAAGAAAATGAAAAGAGAGGCCACAGATTGAGAGACAATATCTGTAAATCATTTTTTAATAAAGGGCTTACCCCCAGTATAAAGACACTTAATAATGAAAAGCCAAGCAACCTAATTAAACAATTAGGTTTATTAGGTTTCAGATTCGAATAGAGATTTTACCAAAGAAGATATATGAAGGATTAATAAGCATATGAAACACTGCTCAACACTATTCGTCATTAGGAAAATGCAAATTAAAACCACAATGAGATACCACTTCAAATGTATTAGAATGGCTATACTATAAAAGATGGGCAATAACAAGCATTGGCAAAGATGTGCAGGAATTAAAATCTTCACATGCTACTGGTGATAATGAAAAATGGTGCAACCATTTTGGAAAACAGTTTAGCGGTTTCTTAAATAGCTAAATGTTAAGTTACTGTATGACCCAACCATTCCACTCATAGGTATCTACCCAAAATAAACATAATGAAAATATGAGTGCATGCAAATATTTGTACACAAATGTTTAAAGCAGTGTTAGTCAAACCAGCCAAAAAATAGAAACAATCCAAATTTCCATCAACTGATGAATAAACATTATGTAACATATCCATACAGTCATATCCATACAGTGAAATGGCCAATATATTCAGCAATAAAAAGGAGGGAACTACTAACACATGCCATAATGTGAATGAACCTTGAAAACATCATGCTGAGTGTAAGAAGCCAGAGGCAAAAGACCGTCTATTTTATAGTTCCATTTATATGCAATGTCTAGAAAATACAATTCTAGAAAACAGATTAGAGGTTGTTTGGGACTAGAGGTGGGAAAGGAAGTTGACTGTAAATGGACATGAAGGATCTTTTTGGTGAGATGGAAAATGTTATAAAATTGTATTGCAGTCATGATTATACAACTCTATAAATTTAGTAAAATTATTGAATTATACACTTAATATAAGTAAACATGATACATTAACTGCCACTTCAATAAAACTATTAGAAAAATCAAATATGAATAGGATCCAAAAAAGTATGTATATAAATGAAATGTTCATAGTAGCTTTAATCGTAATAGCCTAAAATTAGGAACAACCAAAATGTTCATCAATGATAAATGCATAAATAACTTGTCATATAATACATATAATAGAATACTATTCGGCAATAAAATGAAATAAATTACTGACACTTGGAACAAAATGAATGACTCTCAAAAGCATTATGCTAAGTAAAAGGAGCCAGGCACAAAAACTACTTACTACATAATTCCAATTATATGAAATTCTGGAAAAAGGCAAAATTATAGCGAGAGAGCAGATCAGTGGTTGTTGCCAGGTGCCAGGGTGTCGGGGGAGAGATTACAAAGGAAGTTTCTGGAATGGGAATACTTTGTATTTTGATTGTGGTAGAGGTTTTATGATTGAATACATTTGTCAAAATTCATTAAACTTTACACTTACATTGGTGAATTTTGTTGCAAGGAAATTATACTTCGATAGAGGTAATAAAAAGCACAAGGAATGTTCTTTATTGGGAAAACTGGAATGAAAGCATTCTGATTTGGAGATACACGTTATAAAATATATATATCATATATATGATATGTATTATATATGATGTATATATATGTTCTGTCAAAAATGTGTAAGGAGGTAGAAGGTTTGTTGTCATTTTTTGCATAAAGTATCTATTCCATTGGTGCTGAGTCATTAAGTGACCAGATAAATAATTTAGAAATAAAAGCAAAACAAATGCTGAAAAAAAAGCCCACGTCCATGCTACTGTGTATAGGGTTCCTTTGTGAGTTGATAAAAATGTTTATGATGAAGAAACTAAAAATTGCTAAATTGTACATACAGGGTGAGTTTTATGGTATGTGAATTGTACCTCAATTTTTAAAAAAGAAACCCAAGGTCATTAAACATGCAGTACAAGGCCTTTTGTTTGTTTGTTTTTTGGTTTTTTCCCTTTATTCACAATATAGGTTTGAAATGGAGAAGGCAGAGAATAAACAATGAGAGAAATATTTTGAGTACCTTTTTATTATGAAGTTTATTTTTGGCATGTAGCTATTAAATAAAATAGGTATTACAATAAGCTAAATTTTATGTACTGGAATGTGTTACTGCTATCATTAATGTGATTAACTGCTTTTAAAATTCCCAGCCAAAATTAGTTATAATCATAAAAATAAAGAATACTACCTGTTTGTTTTTGAAATTCCTTGCTGTCCATAGCCACTTGAAGGCACTTTCTGGTACAGTAGTTGTCTACTGGTTAAGTGAGTCTGAGGCTTTAGTCTGGGCATGATTGATTCAATATGATTATAGTTAAGGCATAAGACCTACAGAAAGAATATCTTATTAATCAGAAATCCTAGAAATTATTAAAAATTGTATGGATAAAACTTGGAATATACCACATAATTTAATAATATATTAGTGCTAAAACAACAAATGTTTATATCCTAAATAATCTAGATTTAGTTTTCAATGTGTTTTTAATCTGACATTCTGGGAAATTACAGTACTTCACATGGAGACCCTAGAAAACTCCTCAACTTTCTCAATCTGTTCTCCTGATTTCTCCAAACCTGACAAGGATGAAATAATTTTTAGTCGAAAAGACAGCTATTTACCTATGTTTAAAAGGCCTTAGTAGATGCCTGAGTCAAGTAAATAATAACGGAGGCAATAAGGCCGTTTAAAGAACCTTGAAGCTTCTTTCCATATCTGCCTTCAATCCCATCTCTGACTACAGAGGAAAATTTACTAAATATGTGACAATCACATAAAACTGAGGTCAAACCAAAATCACTTTGGAAGGTAATAGTTTTTTCTTGCTTAGTAAAAAACAAAAAAAAACCCAAAGAAAATTTAGGAATAATTTATCTACTTTAATAACATGGAAATACCATTTAATCCAAAGCAAAGAATAATTTGCATTGGAAACCTTGAAAGAAAGAAAAATTTGTGAATGACTTACCTTCACATTAGGTAGATAGATTAATCCACTGAATGAGGTAAGATGATTGTTCTGTAGATTCACATTACACACATTTCTAAATTGGTCGACTGGAATCAAATCCACTGTTCTGAATTTAGACAAAGTAAATACAGCTATTATTTTAATAGGACAGGAAAATATAGGAAAAGGTGAGTTCCTTCACATACAGCCACCAAAGACATTTAAAAAGTCTCACCTGACAAGTATAAAAATAATTACTTTAATGTAAAATGAATTGGTTAAATGATCGGCTGAATATACATTTTTGTTGGGTACATATGCAAGAAAGTGACATAGAATTTGGTTGCTTTCAAAAAAAACACATCTATTACCATATAAACATAGCACTATTATAGAAGAAACTTATAAAAGAGACATTTCCACTTTCTTTATAAATTCACATATATGTTTATGAAATCATAGTGAAGTTGATATTGTAAATCATAAGCTTTTCAGGTTATAAACTTCAGATGATATATATTGAAGTAGGTCATTTCTGAAATACCAGGAAGTGGTTAGGGATAGGAAAGGAAAGGAAAAGCAGGTAAGGTCTTTGAAAATAGAGTTTCTGTGGTATCTTCTGGAAACTTTTATGGCATTCCACCCTGTGTGAACATTTTGGTAATTAAACAGAATGCTTGATTCCCAGTCTATAGCTATATCTTCATTTGAGCCATGACAGAGAAGAGCATAAAACTACATCCCTTTCCCTAACCAGTTCTCTAAATAAATCCTAAACTTGAAGTTACAATTATGACATACTTTTACCCACTAATAAGTCATTCATTCAGTCAACATATTTCCATTAGTATTTCCTAAGTGCAGCGGATGTGTTTGGAAAGGCTACAAGAAAGATGAAAGAAATGTTTCAGCCCCCAAGAAGTGGGAGCCAGAAAAATAAAAATAAAGAGGAGAATTGCTGTGATAGAGTTAGCATCTCTATCATACCAATGTAATGGCATTTCAGGGAAATAAAATCTATTTTAAAAAGTCAAGGATGACAGCATGGAGGAGAAACATCTTGAGATGATATTTGGAGGAGTTATAGGTATTTGTCGAGCAAATTAGCAGAAAAGAGTTCTAGGCAGTGCAACAGGAAAAACAAAGGGAGAAACAAATATGAAAGAACATCTTATGATTGAGATTCAGTAACTAGAATATTTCAGAATTTCTGAAGTATGAAGTATCATGGGCAGTAAAGAAAAGGACTACAAGAGATAATAATGGACAGATAATAAAGAGTCTTTTATGCCATACAAAGGAATTTTTAATTTTAGGCTGGGCACAGTGGCTCACACCTGAAATCCCAACACTTTGGGAGACTGAGGCAGGTGAACCACTTGAGCCCATGATTGGAGACCAGCCTGGCAACATGGCATAAATGCTGTCTCCACAAAAAATACAAAGAAAATTAGCCATGCTTGGTGGTGCGTGCCTATAGTCGGAGGATCGATTGAGCCTGCAAGGTTGAAGCTGCAGTGAGCCATTTTTTGAGACCCCATCTCAAAAAATGCTCATTACTTAGCATGAATCTTTTCAGTACAGTAGATAATTTTATGAATTATTGATTATATTTAGGTAAGTTGTATAAATGTAAGCTTCAGAAAAATGATAATAATTACATAATGTAATTATAATGTAAAAAGGCATATAATAAAATGATTGTACCTAATAGATGATGAAGTCCAATTTAGTTCTTGCATTTGTTTGAAGTTGGAATGTCCTTGTCGTTCTGCAATCATGTCAGAAGTAAGTCTACCACCAAACAAATCTTTTGCACTGTCAGTCTCTGATGGTTCCTATATGAAGATATTTAGAAAATGATGTCCTGTCTTACAGATGACTAAATTACATAGTTCTCTGGTTTTAGGTAAAAATTCAGTGGACTCATTTTTCCAGATTCCTCCTACTAAGTAGAGCTAAATCCTGTGCATTATATATGAAACAAACATAGGCAGGGCAAGGTGGCTAATGCCTATAATCCCAGCACACTGGGAGGCCAAGGTGGGAGGATTGCTTGAGTCCAGGAGTTCAAGATGAGGCTGGGCAACAAAGTGAGACCCTGTCTCTACAAAAAACAAAAAAGAATTAGTCAAGCACAGTGGCACATGCCTCTAGTTGTAGCTATGTGGGAGGCTGAGGCCAGAGGATGTCTTGAGCACAGTTCAGAGGCTGCAGTGAGCTATGATCATGCCACTGGATTCCAGTCTGGGTGACAGAGTGAGATCCTGTCTCTAAAAATTTTTTTTAATTAAAGAAATTAAAACCAAACATAAGAATACTGAAAGATGTGGAGAAGAAGGCAGACCAGGTAGGTACCTCAGGACCTGAGGAATGACACCCTGGATTTTCTTTTTGCCTCATAATCTCTACTGGGTGTTAGAGAAGCTAGAAACCCAGAAATGACAGTAAGGAAATAACAAGACAAAGTCCACAAAAAGCCTGCTCTCTCTAATCAAAGGATCGGGAAAGGGGAAGCCTAGCACAGCAGAAAACTTTAGACGATAACAAGCCTACTCCTGCTAAATCCTACAGAATAAACTGTGGCCCCCAACTTCATGCCCACAAGTAAAAGCAGAATGGGCTGCTTAGACTTTCACCAGTGCTCATCTGTAACAAGGCACTTCTTCATCATCCACCTGCTGAGTGGGAACCTGTATTTCATCCCTCCTCAGCAGTAACACATGTCCCCACTCCCTGCATGCAAGTGTTATTGTAGATAACATGGGGAGTTTGGATTCCCACTTCCACCCAGTAATAATGAGTTATCTGTGGAGCATCAATTAGGTATTCTTGTCTCTCCCAGCCAGGATGAATCAGTGAAGGGTTCTGGGTAATAGTAACAAGGAGTTCCTTCCTTCCCAGCCAGAGTAAATCAATGGAGGCCTGGTGGGGAGCATGAACTCCAACTCTAGCCTAGCAGTTAATGAAGAACACACCTCCAGGTTGTCAACAGAAGCCAAATGGAGGAATTTGAACTTCTATCTCCCACCTGACAGCAACAAAGTTGTTCCTCGTCTTCTCACTGGTATAGTGCCAAGGGAGGCTTGCTAAAATAGATTTAAATAAGACCCACATAATACCCCAAATGTCCAGAATAAAATAAAAAGTATGTTATGCCAAGAACCAAGAACATCTCAACTTGAATGTGAAAAGACGATCAACGGATGCCAACTTTGAAATGACACAAATATTTTTTAATTGCATTTCAAAGCAGTCAAAGGAAAAATGCTCAACAAGCAATTATGGACATACTTGAAACAAATGAAAAAAACAGAAACCCTTAGCAAAGAAATAAGTGATAGCAAAGCAATAGAAGATATGAAGAATGAAATGAAAATTTTAGAATTGAAAAATACTGTAAACAAATAAATGCAATGGATAGGGACTCAATAGCAGAGTGGAAAGAAAAGAGAAAAGAATAACTGAACTTGAAGACAGAACAATAGACATTACCCAGTATGAACAAAAGAGAGAAAATAGACCCATAAATAAATGAGCCTCACTTTACCAAGATGGGCATATCCTGTATTTGTGGAACCATAAAAAAGATTTAATATTAGTATCACTGGATTCATAGAAAAAGAAGAGAAATAATGTGGGGCTGAAAAAGTATTTGAAGAAGTTATAACCAAAAATCTTCCAAATCTGGCAAAAGACATAAACTAAGAAACTAAGTAAGAAGCTAAGCAAACCTCAGACAGGAAAAAAAACCCAAATCCATGCAAGGACACATAATAATAATCAGAATCAAATTTCTAAAAACTAATGACAGAGAAAAAAGGCATGAAAACAGTGACAGAGGAATTAAATCTTACCTATAAAGGAAAAACAATGTAAGTGACAGCAGATTTCTAATCAGAAACTATGGAAACCAGGGAATGTGGCACGACATTTTCAAGTGGTGAAAGAGAAACATCAACCCAGAATTCTATATCCAGAGAAAATATCATTCAGAAATAAAAAGAGAAAGCAAGACATTCTCATAGGAAGGAAAACTAAGCAAACTGTTACCAGCAGAACTACCCTAAGAAATGACTAAAGAAAGTTTTTGAAATGGAAAGAAAAAAAAAAGGAATCTTGGAATGCCAGGAAAGAGGAAAGCACAATGGAAAGAGTATTAATAAACTTCCCTTCTTTTCTTGATTTTTCTAAATTATCTTTGATTAGTTGATGTGAAAAAACTATAATATTGTCTCATTGGTTCTCAATGTATATGGTGAAAATATTTAAGTCAAATATTAACAGGAGAGAAGAAATAGACTGGAAGGAAAGTAACATTTCTACACTTTACTCAAACTGGTAAAATGTCAACACTAACAGACTATAGTAAGTTATGTATATGCATTGTAATAGAACAACCACTAAAAAAAACTATATGAAGAGATACACTAAAAAACACTATGGATAAATAAAAATAGAATTTCAAAATGTGTTCAGGAAGCTCACAGGAAGGCACAAAAAAGAAAACAGAAGAAAGATAAACAAAGGAAACAAATATAAAACAAGAAAACAAAATGGCAGACATAAGCCCTAACAGGTCAGTTGGCTATAGTAAATATAAATGGTCTTCGTTCATCAATTAAAAGATAAAAATTAGCTAAAAGGTAAAAGAACATGATCCAACTGTATGTTGTCAACAAGAAACTCACTTCGAATATAATAATATATGCAGGTTGAAAGTAAAAGAATGGAAAAAGATATCCTAAACATTAATCAAGAGAAAGCAGGAGTGGCTTCATTAATCTCAGATAAAGTAAACTTTGAAGCAAAGGAAATTACCAGAGTCAGACAGAACATTACCTACTGATAAAACGGTCAGTCCACCAAGAAGACATAACAGTCCTAAACGTGTATGCACCAACAACAGAGCTGCAAAATATTTGAAGCTAGAGTCCCCAGTTATTTTAGCCAATGATGTAGGTATTGCTGTGAAAGAATTTTGTAGACATAATTAAAGCTCCTAGCAAGTTGACTTGCAATAAGGAGATAATCTTGAATAATCTGGATGGGCCTGATTCAAACAATTGCAAGGCTTTAAAAGCAGAGGTAAGTTTCCTGAAATAAAGAATTTTCCTGAAGAAAATCTACTCATGGACAGCAGCTTTCATCTATCCCTGTGAGTCCCAGCCTGTCCATAATCTTCCCTTCCTGATGGCCTGTCCTATGGATGTCAGACTTGTTTAGGCAGTCCCCTCAATTATTAAATATTCCTTGATATCTATATTTCTATATATAGACATAGATATCTCTATATGTATATCTATCTTACTAGTTCTGCTTCTCTTGTTGAATCCTCAATAATAAAATCTCAAAATAAGTTTTAAAAACATATTAAGCCTTGGGGGAGGGGGGAGGGATAGCATTAGGAGATATACCTAATGCTAAATGACGAGTTAATGGGTGCAGCATACCAACATGGCACATGTATACATATGTAACGAACCTGCACATTGTGCACATGTACCCTAAAACTTAAAGTATAATAATAATAAAATTAAAAAAATAAATAAATAAATAAAATTGTACAAAAAATAAATAAAAAATAAAAACATATTAAGCCTTAGAAATACCATTGCTTTTGTGTTTTTCATAATTATACAAGCAACATATGATTAATGTCCTCCTAAATCAGGGGCTGACAAATGTTTTCTACAGTTTTCCTGTAAAGAGTCAGTCAGTATTTTAGCCTTTGGGAACAATAGCTTCTCTGTTGCTATTTAATTTTGCCACTGCAGTGTGAAAGCAGTCACAGATTATATATAAACAAACAGGCATGGATGTGTTCCAATAAAGTTTTATTTACTAAAATAGGTGGCAGGTCACATTTGGCCCAATGGCTATTGTTTGACAATCTATTTCAGACAAATGGTTTGAACTTGATCTAAATTAAACTGGTAAGTCATTTGATCTACTTTTACTCAAACTCCCTTCTTTTTTTCTAATCTGTTAAAACTTCATATCTAAATTGAGAATATGTATCCTTAATGCAAAAAATAATCTTTTACAAATAAAAGTACATAGGAACAAAAGATAAAATGAAAACACAACTACCCAAATTGTTCTTTGGGTCTTCCTAGTCTATGCCCTCCCTTGGTTTCTACTCCCACTCCAAAGAAGACAATGTAATTATATGTCTAGAGAGTGTTGGACAGAGAATGAGGCTCAGGTGCCCATGATTTACCATTAAAGAGTCACATAACTTGAAAGAAGTCATGTAACTTCTCTAGAGTTCCTTGTGTTCATACATAAAATAAAGGATTTGAACTATGCCATTTCCAAAGTTTATTTATATCTCAGACACTCTAGCATTATATATTACTGTACTACCTACCTCTGCACCCACTTTTCATGACTTCTTTTTCTACATATGTTTAATAAATGAAAGTATTAGAGCCTCACTTTGATTTCTTTACTTTCTCTACTCTCTTTCCTTAGACAATATTGCATATGCTTTTGGTCTTAACTGTTAACTCTCTTCAAATTACTTCCAAGTCCAAACATATGTAAAGTAAATTTTCATATGCATATTTAATCCTGTGATTTCAGCTGCCTGCTTGACATCTCCAGTCAGATGATCTTCTGTCATATAAAACTAATGTCTAATACTAATCATCTTACACCCCCAAATTGCTTTTCTTCCTATATTCATATTCTGTTATGGTGTCTTTTATTGGCATAGACTCAAGCCTTGTAGAAATCCTTTATTCTTCCTTTCCTTTGCCCTTCAAATCCAATGCATTCCCATTACCTTGCATTTAAAATCTAAATTCTTCAGTCTAGTCTTCATGTCCAATTATTAATTCATACATTTATATTCTGCCTTATTCCACAAATAATTTGTGGCAGCTTACAGGAAACACATATAATCAAATAGTAAAATGCAAACCATACATAGTGAAAATCACGCTCACTAGGATTAGTGACAAAAAGACTGTAAGATCCTATAGGGTTTATATTATTGAATCATAAATTTGGTCCTGAGCTTTTAGGCAAAGTGAAAAGGAATATAATTAAATAATACTCATTGATATGGATTGGCTCTGTGTCCCCACCAAAGTCTCATCTTGAATTGTAATAATCCACTTGTGTTGTGGGAGGGACCCAGTGGGAGGTAAGTGAATCATGGGGGTGGGTTTTTCCTGTGCTGTTCTTGTGATAGTGAATAAGTCTCATGAGATCTGATGGTTTTATAAAGGGGAGTTCCCGTGCACATGCTGTCTTGCCTGCCACCATGTAAGACCTGCTTTTGCTCTTCCTTCATCTGCCATGATTGTGAGGCCTCCCCAGCCATGTGGAACTGTGAGTCCATTAAACTTCTTTCCTTTATAAATTACACAGTCTCATGTATGTCTTTATTGGCAGCATGAGAACAGACTAATGCAGTAAATTGGTATTGGTAGAGTAATGTGCTGCTGTAAAGATACCCAAAAATGTGGAAGTGACTTTGGAACTGGGTAACAGGCAGAGGTTGGAACAGTTTGGAGGGCTTAGAAGAAAATAGGAAAAATGGGAAAGTTTGTAACTTCCTAGAGACTTGTTGAATGGCTTTGACCAAAATGCTGATAGTGATATAGACAATAAGGTCCAGGCTGAGGTGGTCTCAGATGGAGACAAGGAACTTGTTGGGAACTGGAGTAAAGATCACTCTTGCTATGCAAAGAGATTGGTGGCATTTTCCCCTGCCCTAGAGATCTATGAAACTTTGAACTTGAGAGAGATGATTTAGGGTATCTGGTGAAAAATTTGTAAGTGGCAAAGTGTTCAAGAGGAAGCAAAGCAAAAAAGTCTGAAAAATTTGCAGCCTGATGATGCAGTAGAAAAGAAAAACCCATTTTCTGGGAAGAAATTCAAGCTGGCTGCAGAAATTTGCATAAGTAACGAGGTGCCAAATGCAAATCGCCAAGAGAATGGGGAAAACGTCTCCAGGGCATGTCAGAGACCTTCACAGCAGCCACTCCCATCACAGGCCTGGAGGCCTAGGAGGGAAAAACGGTTTCCTGGAGTGGTCCAGGGCCCCCATACTTTATGCAGCCTAGGGACTTGGTACCCTGTGTCCCAGTCACTCCAGTCATGGCTAAAAGGGGCCAATGTATAGCTCAAGCTGTGGCTTCAGAGGGTGCAAGCCCCAAGACTTGGCAGCTTTGACATGGTGTTGGTCCTGTGGGTACACAGAAGTCAAGAATTGAGGTTTGGGAACCTCCACCTAGATTTCAGTGGGTGTATGGAAACGCCTAGATGTCCAGGCAGAAGCCTGCTGCCCTCTGCTAGGGCAGTGCCAAAAAGAAATGTGGGGTTGGAGCCCCCACACAGAGTCCCCACTGGGGCACTGCCTATTGGAGCTGTGAGGGGGGGACCACTGTCTTTCAGACCCCAGAATGGTAGATCCACCCACAGCTTGCACCGTGCACCTGGAAAAGCCACAGACACTCAATGCCAGCCTGTGAAAGCAGCCAGGAGGGAGGCTGTATCCAGCAAAGCCACAGGAGTGGAGCTGCCTAAGGCTGTGGGAGCCCGCCTCTTGCATTAGCATGACCTGGATGTGAGACATGGAGTCAAAGGAGATCATTTCAGAGCTTTAAGATTTTGCTGCCTCACTGGATTTTGGGCTTGCATGCGGCCTGTAGCCCCTTTGTTTTGGCCCATTTCTCCCATTTGGAATGGGTGTATTTACCCAATGCCTGTACCCCCATTGTCTCTAGGAAGTAACTAACTTGCTTTTGATTTTACAGGCTCATAGGCAGAAGGGACTTGACTTGTCTCAGCTCACACTTTGGACTGTGGAATTTTGAACTAATGCTGAACTGAGTTGGGGGACCATTGGGAAGGCATGATTGGTTTTGAAATGTGAGGACATGAGATTTGGGAAGGGCCAGGGTTGGAATGATATGGTTTGGCTCTGTGTCCACACCCAAATCTCACCTTGAATTGTAATAATCCCCACGTCATGGGAGGGACCCAGTGGCAGGTAATTGAATCATGGGGATGGGTTTTTCTTACGCTGTTCTCGCGATAGTGAATAAGTCTCATGAGATCTGATGGTTTTATAAAGGGGAGTTCCTTTGCACATGCTCTCTTGCCTGCTGCCATGTAAGACATGACTTTACGCTTCCTTTGTCTTCCACTATGATTGTGAGGCCTCCCCAGCCATGTGGAACTGTGAGTCCATTAAACCTCTTTCCTTTATAAATTGCCCAGTCTTGGGTATGTCTTTATTAGTAGCAGAGTTCAGACTAATACACTCATTGTCAGTGAGCAGAACATAACTTTTCCTTAGCGGTAAATGTTTTTTCTACATTTATTTCTATAAGTGCTTTTTCATGTGGCCCTTCAAATGAAGGCACAGAGAGATAGGACAGATAAGATCCTCAACAACATCTTTAGAGTAAATGCAGTACTGGTCTCATAGGACTATTTTAAAAAACATTTTTCAGTGAAAGCTAACAAATAAATAAGTCACAGTATACAAGGTTCTAGAGAATTTGTATGTGTTGGAGTGAGAAAGTTTTAGTGACCCATTCTGAGGATGGGCCAGAAAACAGAAGGGCTAGGATTAGTAATCTTCTTGGAGTACCTCAGAATACTAAATGATCATGAACTATCTTTCAATTTTCTAGAAAATTTGATGTGTTTTCTTTTCTGACAGGAGCTAGGCAACATTACACCATAAACCTTTTACTCTTTACACATTTGTCATGCATTTACCCTGCTATGTGGAAAACAGGAGCCCTATGAATTTGCTTGTTATAGAATCCAGTATCCAAATGTTGCTTTCACATTCAGTCCTAGGGTCTGTGTCTATTTTTCTTTACAGCTTACTTAGTAATGTTGACATACCACATGTTGGTTCAAATATATTTTTCTTAATTATTAATATTAGCAACTATATTTGCACTGAAAATAGAAAGCTGCTTTTAGGCTTAGGAGGATGCTAAATCCCCAGTGCATAATTTTCTATCCTGTCCCATAAAATTGTGTTCTTTACCTTTTAGGCACTGAATTCTGTGGGTTCTATTGTAAGCAGCACAGCCCTCCCTTTCCACCACAATTCAGACAATTAAGAATTGACCAGATGACAAAATTAAAAAACCCAGATCTAAAATAAGCTTTGGAGACCTAGATTTAATAAGTATAGTAAATTTGGCTATAATGCTAGTGATAAAGCAATGTTCAAAATGACTATGTCCTATAAATATGTGACTATGCAGCTTAGACCAAATGTTGTGAGTCATAAATCAACTTACAATTGGTATCCCATCCAAAGCTTTCAGTTCTGGAAGATGAAATATTACAAACAACCGGTAGTTTTCTTGATTCCATATAATGATGTTCCCACACATGTCTAGAATGACCAAGTTGCATAAACCCTAGGTAATAAAATACATATATTCATCTATATGTATATTTAAAGCACTCTAGTAAGAGGTTAGCCATCCTCAAATTTTAATATTGGAATTATCTATCATTCCATGGGATTTCAGTGCCTTTAAGTATACTTTTTTTTTTTTTTTTTTTTTTAAAGACATGGTCTCGTGCTGTTGCTCAGGCTGGAGTGCAGTGGTCTGATCATAGCTCATTGCAGCCTCAAACTCCTAGGCTCAAGTGATTCTCCCACCATGGCCTCCCAAAGTGCTGAAATTATAGACATAAGCCACCACGCCCAGCCTCAGTGCACTTTTAAGTGCAAGGGTTACCCTTTCAGACCACTTAGGTATATTTTGTGCAGTATTTCAATGGTCTATGTTATATAATCAGAATCCCTTTTAGGATACTAGTGCCAAATGTATTATCTATTAATGGTAAGGGCTTAGAGGGAACTTCACTATGTTTAAGACAAATATACTTTGTTTATGGAATAATGGCTTAATAAATGGATGTATGTGTCTATATAGATATAACAGGAATAAAAGACACTGCTATTTGAAAAGTGATGAAACTGAAGTGCTTCTACTTTCTGAGAGGGTAGTGGAATTCATCCTAAGGGAAATGTGCTGTTTTATTAGACAAGACACTTTGATATGCCTTTGTTGTGAAGGAAGGGTCTTGGCAGGTATGGAGGGGAGAGGTGAAAACAAGAGGGAGTAAAACTACTGAAAACAAGAGGGAGTAAAACTACTGTGCATCATAATGTGAAATGGCTTATTGTGTTGCTGGTGTTGTTGATTAGGTTGCCTCCCTAGCTCTAGAAGTAGTAATTATACTGGGGGAACGGAATGGGGAGAAGTCTGAACTAAGAAAAGACAGGAAATGGACACAAGTTTTTGGTAGGAGATAAAGTCCTAGTAATATTGTATCAGCAAAAGGACAGGCCAGTGTAAGACCCATAGTGTTAGAAAATGGCCACTGAGCTTTAGAAACAATGAAGTCACACATGACATTTGAAGTAAATTCCTGTTCTGTGCTATAGAAACCCTCTGTTTTGTTCAAACCTTTAGTAAATCCTATTACACAACAGCCTTAAATTAGTGGTTTTTTGGGGGAATTAACAAAAGCAAATCTGAGCAAAGGCGACCAAGTTTGAGCCACTGGTAAGAGAACAGTGAAAGATCATCACGAATTGTACTGAGAACAGGAGAATGCTAAGGAATAGGTTTGGTTTATCATACTTGAGTATTTAAAAAAAGTTACCCCAGAAGGATAGCAAATGGGGACATTATGTATACACAGATATATTTTTGTATGTATACAACATTGAATGCAAATACATTTTAATAAACTTGTTATTCTTATTTTTATTTTCTTTATATTTTCCAAATTCTGTGCAATAAACATGCATTACTTTCATAATATAAAGAAACAATACATGTTAAAAAACAAAAAAATTACTACCCAGATGATTACCTTTAAATTGTGCATCTCCTGATTGACAGCAATATAGTTATTGCTTATGTATAACTCAACAAGAGTAAAAGATTTTTGTAAACCACTCAATGAAGTGATTCTGTTGTTCTCAAGAGAAAGCGAGTGAAGATGAAGCATGTTATCAAAGGTATGCTCTTCCCAACCAGTGAGAAGATTATTATTTATGCTGAGGCGAGTTAATTTAGTCATCTTGGAAATACCTAGAAAAATAAGCAAATTCAAGAAAAGATTCAGATAACACTAAAGGTTTAATTTAAAAAATAAGTGGCTGGTCATTTTATTGTAATTAGATAGCTAGGTTCAAATGGCTTTAAAGATTCTGTAATACTAACCATCATTGCTTTAAGCCTTTGTTTTGGAAGAATATAATCTTGTGTATAAGCCCCATCTCAAACATTAAATTCAAATTTTGGATTTCTAAGTAGATTCCTTCTTCTTAGGAGTTAAGGAAAGGCATTACATGAAAATATTGAATTTCTCTTTCAAATAACCTTAAAATGATGTAATTAATTAAGATTTTCATCATTTTGAAAACAAAAAGCTCTACACAAAGCTCAAAATAATCACCAGCCCTCATTTTTAAATATTAAGGGTAAGGAACCACATTCTGGAAAGTGCATCGTTTGTATTAAAATGAACAATCTAGCCTACTTTTACTTGCTTATGCCTAAAAGTACTCTAAGATGGAAGTTTGGAAAATGGAACCAGTCTAACTCCTGCATACATTATGTACTGCAAGCACTTTATAAGTATAGCCAGGACAGTGCAGTTGAAAGACAAGAACTTCGGAATCCTAGTTGGCTTCAAATATATCACTACTAGGTTTGTGGCGATACATAAATTGTGTAACCTCTGAGCCTTAATTTCCTCATCCATAAAACGGGCATACTAAAATTTACTTCCAAGGAGTTATGAAATTAAATGGAATAATGTTTGGAAAGTATCAAATAATTATCTGTGCTCCCCTTTCACATCAGTTCCTATTGTGGGACTGTACAATGTTGAAGGTGAATCAATCCAGGGCAAGATAGGATCAAAGCCATCAAAGCAAAAATCATTAAATGGATATGGAACCTACCCATGTCTGAAGAAAAAGGAGAAATTCCTGTTAAAGTTTAGAGGGGTAGCTATCTTCTCCAAAATATAGGTGTAAGAAAAATATAGATTGGAAGATTCTTCTGTTTAATAGGTTTATGGAAGGAAATGAAAAGGAAATAGGGTTTTTAATTGTATGTACAAAGCAAAACTAATATCCAGTTGTATGGGAATGGGAGACTAGTGATAGGTCAAGACACAGGTGCCTGAGCTACCCCTAGGTTTACTCTACTGAAATCTACAGAAGAGAGGCCTGTGAATCTGTATCTTCAATAAGTGTCCTAAGTGATTCTCATGATCAAGAAAGTTTTAGAAACATATTGTTAACAGCCATTAAAATGAAATATGTCACAAATGTTATGTATGCTTTCTTAAATATATTTAATACTTGCTTTTATATATATAATTTTGTGAAATCAAATCTTCTATTTTATGAAAAATGCAGTATATACACATGATAAAAATAATCCAATTCAAAAATGAATAAAATGTAAATTCTGTTTCCCAGCCGTGATTTCTAATTCTTACCTTCCCTCCTTGACAAACACAACCATGTTACCAAAATGCACATACAGAAATATTCTTTATTCAGATAAGTGTGTGTGTGTGTGTGTGTGTGTATACACACATATACATATTTCTCTTTTCAATCAAATAGTGCACACTTGTGGACATATTTTTTAATTTCTAGGAGTTAGTTACTCTTTTGAGTAGATGGAGAGGGAGAATAAGAGAAAGTTGGTAGCAAGTCATGGAAAGCTTCTTTCAATTTCTTTCTAATGAAGGTAAGAATAAAATAAAGCTGGGGAGGAGTCAGAAAATACTTGACTTAGTAGTATATATTCTAGGACATGTTCTCTAAACTCATGATTTTTAGCTGTAGATAAGCATAAATCCAAATGAAGTGAAGAATCTAAGAAGCTTGGAAGGGGAAAGGGAGGAAAAGTCTTTTTTATTCTCTCTGGTTCAGAAAAATATGTTTTAATACTGAACTTTAAACAGTCAAATAAAATATATTATATTGGTATCATTATTATTAAGATATTACTAAAGCTGCTTAATTGGACTTGTATGTGGATCCATGGAAAATGTTACATATAGTATATTTTATTTTCAACCTCTAGTGAGTATAATTTTCATTTCTTGTTAAAGTATTCAAATTTCCAAATATAACCTCAATTTTATATTTTCAAAACAGAACTAGTCTGCTTTATCTTTTTCAAAAGCATACCTCATTCATTTGTTTACTCAACTTTACAGACATTAATGACTAACTAGTTGGTATGTGCTAATGTTTGGTAACAGATTATAAACTAGCACAGAGGAGAGGGGAGAGAAGGCACAGGAGGTGAAAGCTTGCTCGGGCTCATTATATAAAGTAAAATAGTCACGAATTCCACTAATAGGTATGAACTCGTTTTAATTTTTTATTTATCTTTTATTTTTTAATTTGACAGATAATATTGTATCCATTTATCTTGTACAACATGATGTTTTGAAGTATATATATACATTGTAGAATGGTCCAATCTAGCTAACTAATAATTGCATTACCTCACACAGGTATTTAGAATACCCTGCCACAAAAACTTGGAACTTTCCTAGAGATCTTCCTCTTCAGAAACTCTGTTCCCAGGGTTATTTTTTGCTTTGTTGTTTAGACATCCCATATTTTGAGACTTCAAAGTTCTTAAGTACCTTACCTTCTATCTTTGAGATGCAGTTTCCATCTAATGTGAGCTCTTCCAAGTTAATACAGGATTCCAGACCCTCCATTTTAGTGAGATTATTATTGCTGAATGATGCCCATTTCAAATTTTCCAATTTTTCTAAATTTGTGATTTCAAAAAGATGTTGTCCATCTAAATTTAAGGCAGTTATCTGTAGAATAATTTACATTGTATGTTATTTCTAAATCTTATAAATTCAGTCAATGTTAATAACATTTTAAAAAGCTAATGAAATAATTCAAATGTGATAAATAGATATCAAAAGAATTCCTTCAGGAGCTAAAGATATTGTGAAGCTGTCAGTTTACAGAAAAGTAAAATTTGACGAGATTATAACTCCAAGAAGGACTTATATGGTATTAAGGACACTGCGATGTGCTAGAGTCCCATTACAGTAATGGACTTGTCCCAGCTGCTGGGAGTGCTTCTGGCAGAGTCTTCAGCTGTCAGTCCCTGCAGGGACTGCCTTGCTGTAGACAGCTGCCAAGGTCACTCTCCTTCCCAGGTTGGCCCTCAGCCAGTGATGGAAGCCTATAAAGGCCTGACCATCTCAGCCCAACTTAGGACAAATTTAAAGGGCCATTCTAACTCCACTAACTCCAGAACTGCCTGTGGGTCAGCCAAAGCTGTCACTGGGCCTTCATTTGCAGCTCAATATCTATATATATCTTGTAATAAAAGTAATGCCAGTAATGTCTCCCATTTTCTGGGAGCAGCTTCACTTAGCCCAGTTTCTATGTTTGGCAAGAGGTATAAGGACACCTAATGTAGCAAGAAGCTGCAAGTGTTCTATAACCTTTTCCCTTATCCTTGGCTGAATTCTGACCAGCTCCCCTACTCCCTTGTCAGGATACCTGACTCTTGCTGTCTGAATTTTGGCTTGATCTCTGGCTCTGAGCCTTTAAAGTTTGCTTTCCTATTCTGACATGTTATCAGAATCTTGCCTATTCTGACATGTTATCAGAATACGGAATTAGAATGGCCCTTTAAATTTGTCCTTAAGTTTTAGTGCACCTTTATCTTAAATTTCCAATTCTGTGGCGAACGCAGTCAAGGCCCAGCCCATCTGACGTAGCCATTCATGACTTGACCTCCCTGTTTTTTATTTTTTGGAATATGACAAATGTATTACTTTTTACTAATAATAACAATGTCTTTCTTATTTTTATTTTTTCCAACTCTGTTGAAGTGTAATTGACAATTTAAAATTGCATATATTAAAGATGTATAACTTGATATAAGCATACATTGTAAATTAAAAACTGTATAATCTCAATTATATATGAACTCTAAAATAGTCAAACTCATAGGAGAGAGTAGAATAGTGGTTGCCAGGGGCTAGGGGCAATGGGAAGTGGGCAGATGTTGGTCAAGAGGTACAAGGTTTCAGTTATGCAAGACGAATACTTTCTAGAGACCCTAATGTACAACATCAAAGTTAACGATAACTTTAACGACTAAAGTTAATGACTAAAGTTAACGATACGGTATTGTATACTTGAAATTTGCCAAGAGGGTAGATCTTAAGTGTTTCTTCCCTATTTTAATTAATCTCTTCCAGCTTTCTGTCCCTTACCTATCTGTGCCCTCTTTATGATACACAGACCAACACTGACTTAAAAATAGATTTAAATTAAGCTTTATATTAGGTTTAATAGAATTAGCCTTTACCTTCAAGTAGCAGTTTCCACTCAGATGTAAATGAGGTCCTAACTTTGAAACCTGCGTCAGAATTTTGGCAGAAGGCCATATACTAAGTATCCGTGGTCTCTCCTCTTTAGTACTAGAATGCCGTAAGAGAGATAACTAATAAAATTTAAAAAATACAGTGAAAAAAGGAAACAGTATACAGAGGTTAGTTGATATATAGTTAAAATTATTGTTTCCAGGGAAGATGAGTGGCCCAATAAATAATTATAAAATGTAACATTTCCTTTGCCTTAAATTGTTTTCAATATCTAGATACATTTTAATTACATTGTTTCTTGTTTTAGCAAATGTGGAACCATTACAAGATAATATTTATAAGACTGTAAAATGATTACTATAATATGAACACACATAGAATCCACCCATGAAACCAGTTTAAGAGCTAGAATATTATGAATAGATTACAAGCACCCTGTGGGCCCGATCCTAAGCCCTTTTCTTTCCTTTTCTTTAGAAGTGATCATTATCTCAAATGTTTTGTCCACCATTCCTTGCTTTCTTTATAGTCCTATGTCTGTGTCCATAAACAATATATCATTTAGTTTTGCACATATTTGAAATTCATGTAAATTGAATATGTATGTATTCTTTATGACTTGCCTTTTTTGTTCAATATCATATTCATCAGATTCATCTAAGCTTCTCTATGTAGCTGTAGTTCATTCATATGTCCTATGTATAGTATTCCCTTAATGACTCTCCTGTCAATGAACATTGGGGTTGATTCAGTTTTTGCTATTATAAACACTGTCATCATGAATATTCTTGTGCATGTTTCCTGGTACATACATGCAAGAGTTTCTTTAGAGTATATGCACCTAAGTAAAGTAAAATTGCTGGGTTGTAGAATACACACACACACACACACACACAAATATACATCAGCTTTACTGAATAATGTCAAATTGTTTTCCAGAGTGGTTGTACCACTTCAGAAAAATTACACTTTTACTTCATATTCTTGCAACAACTTGGTATTGTCAGACTTTAAAGTTTTTGCTCATCTATAAAACTGGCAAAAATTGGTAGGTCATTGTGTTTTTAATGTTCATTTTCTTGAATGCTAATATGGTGGAGTATCTTTTCCTAAGTTAATTGGCTGTTCTGATTTCCTCTCCAGTGAAGTGTATGTTCAGATCTTCGGCACATATTTCTGTTCGGCTGGTTGTCTTTTTCCTTATATATTCTGGATATATAAAGAATATCTTTTGACAGTTGTGTCGCAAATTTCTTTTCCCAGTATGTAGCTTGTCTTTTCACTTTCTTTGAAAAAAGATATATTAATTTTAATGTAGACATGTCCAATTATTTATGGTTTATGCTCTTTGTTTCTTGCCTACTAAATTATTCACAAATTCAAGGTCATAATGATAATCTTTCATATTTTCTTCAAAAAAATTTTTGGTTTTGCCTTTTACAATAAACTCCTTAATGCCTTTTATTGAATAATCTCCCTGATCTACAAAGGCAGCTCTGTTATTTATAAAGTTTCCACCGTCTATATTAGGTTGTTATTCTGTTCCATTGGTCTATTTGTCTAGCTCTGTGCCAATACCACATTGTCTTAAAGGATTTTAGCAGGATTTGATTTCTTTTTAAAAAACTAATTTTCTTAATTTCATTTTAGATTCAGGGGGTACATGTGCAGGTTTGTTACAAGGAGACATTTCGTAATGTTGAGGTTTGGGGTAGGATTGAACCCATCATTCAGGTAGTGGGCATAGTACCTAATAGGTAATTTTTCAGCTCTGCCCATCTCCCTCCTCCCTGTCGTATTCTCCAATGTGTATTGTCCCCATCTTTATGTCCATGTGTACCCAATGTTTAGCTCCCGCTTATAAGTAAGAACTTGTGGTATTCGGTTTTATGTTTCTGTGTTAATTCACTTAGGATAATGGTCTCCAGCTGCATCCATGTTGCTGTGAAGTACATGATTTCATTCTTTTTTATGGCTGTGTAGCATTCCATGGTGTATATTTACCATGTTTTCTTTATCCAGTCCACCACTGATGGGCACCTAGGTTGATTCTGTGATTTCGCTATTGTGAATAGTGCTGCAATGAACATATTAATGCATGTGTCTTTTTAGTAGAACAATTAATTTTCTTTTGGTTATAGCCCCAGAAATGGGATTGCTGAGTGGAATGGTAGTTCTATTTTTAGTTCTTTTCTTAGGGTAAATTCCCAGCTCTTCTTTAGGAGTGTTATTATTATTTTTTATCAATAAAAAATTTCTTTTCAAAATTTTGAATAGATCCAAAACTAAACATTATATTGCCTAAGGAATTAATATTCAGATACTCCACAAAAAGTAAACAACTAGAAAACTAGAGTAGATATATTTAGGATGTTGAAGCTACTTTGGCTAAAGTACAGCATTCTTAATATGGATAACAAAGGTATTTCCCCTCCTTCCATGTTAATGGATTTTGTTCCTTTCAGCCAAACAAATATAATGTTAATATTAAGTAGATAGATAATTCACTAATGCTTTCTGAAGGCCTCTAAGCTTACCTTATCCTCAGACAGTTGCTTATTTTCATGTAGGCTCTAGAAAGGGCTCTGGTGAGTTCAGGTGACTGGTAAAAAAGCAGTTACCCTAGAGGTATTTTTGGTGTAGTGTTCATGGATAGTCAAGAGAATCCATACAACGATTTGGTATTTAAATGAGATACATTTAAACAGAAAAAATACCAAGTGGTATGATTGCTCTATATTAATTTTTTATTAATAGGCTAAGAGGGACTATAAAATCTTAATGACAGAAAAAGAGTATGCAAAATATTATCTGTATGTTCTAAATAGCACAATGAATAGTAAACAGTAAAATCCAACCTGAGTAATCCTTGTTCCTGCAATAAATTTCATAGCTGCTGTTGCTTCTTCTTCAGAAATGAAGACTCCATTTAAATGGGTAAGAGTCTTTAATCTGCCAATAACACTCAGCCTCAATGTGGCTGGCTTGGGAAAAACAAAAAAAAAATTTTTTATAAACTGTTAAATATGTTATGGCATGAAAATGACTGTTTTCATGTCTTTCCATATAATTCAAAATCATACATTTCCTTGTTCATTACATATACCTAAAAAAAGCTTAATTATTTAAATAATAGTTGAAATTATGTTGAATAATTAATCTGTTTGTTTGAAGGTTGATGATTCTACTCTGATGAGGAAGGGAAATCCCATAAGCTATTGAAAAGTGACTGCGGTGAAAAGTGTTAAAAGAACAACTGTAGTGACTCCTGTTTATCTAGATCAGCAGTAAGCTAGTCATCTCCATGTGTGATTCAATATGGATCTTTAGCCCTTGACAATCCAATTTGGCAACAGAGAGATAGCTGTACTGTGATCATCCAGGAAATATGCTTTGGCAAAAGAAAAATATTCTTCACTTTTACTGAGCAAAAAAGAAGAAATACAATAATATAAACTTAGTAA
The DNA here is from genome assembly GCF_000001405.40 of Homo sapiens. Classification (NCBI taxonomy): domain Eukaryota; kingdom Metazoa; phylum Chordata; class Mammalia; order Primates; family Hominidae; genus Homo; species Homo sapiens. The sequence continues at coordinate 59,998,620 of NC_000014.9, read as the reverse complement.
TATGGTCAATTTAATAGAACCTACTGTGCTTAGTTTCCTTTTTAAAGGCTGAACACAGCCTGATATACATCTTTTAAAGGCAGAGAAAGGAAGATTCTTGACTTTATAATCTTGGGACTTATTTTAAATACTTGAAGATATACTTAAATATAGTCATGGAATATGGAAATTACCTAGCATTAATCTACATATTTTTGTAATGAGAAAAAATAATGTTCAGATTTCCTTTTTATAAGAGAACATAAGACTTTATAATGCAAGTTTATGAGGGGAGATGATTTCTGGACTTAAAACAGAAAACAAGTAGTGAATAATGCAAAATGCAAAATAAAATTGTAAAACATGTTGTTCAACCACAGATTAGGATATATTATAAATCAAATTATGTTTCTTCCTTAATAGTGTGCCCCTCTCACTGTATTATATTATTCTTGGTTCCTATGACTCATTAAAATAGAGTTCTGGCACACTGAACTATATAAAATATCTGGAGGTTTGCAAATGGCAATGACATCAATGACTAAAAGCAATAATGTTCTCAATCTATTAGAGGTTACAAAAAATCTGTTTTGAAATTATAGTCTTTTCTTATAGTAACATCTGATTCATTTGATCAGTACATTAAATCCAATTTATGAATGACTTCAAGGAAGGAAGTCTAGAAAAACGAAGATACTTTGCCTATCTCTGGCTATTACTAAATAGTAAAGTTAGTAGGGAAATGGCTCTGAAAATAAAAATGTTTGCTTTTTAGTAACATGTCTGTGGCATACCTTTTGCCATGGATTATGTTGAATATCAAGAGTGAGAAGGCTTGTGGTGTGTTTGCATAACATATTTATTTCATTGCCAGATTTTTTCAGTTGATTCCAGCTCAAGTCTAAGTGCTTCAGTTTCATCAGACCTCTAAATCCCTCAAGGGTTATCACATGGTTATGGCTTGCATCCAAATATTCAAGGTTATACTGCAACACATATAAATAAAAGTGATGCTAAGAGAATCATAATTTGTATTTACAAAATAGTTTCTCTGTGGTTCTTTACATACTTTACACACTTCCTGGTAATCCTCACAGGACACATAAACAGTAGTTATGTTGCAATGATGGTATCAACATATGCATTTGTCTAAAGAGCTACAGGTATTATGTTTTAGTAATTCTCTTTCAATTCATATTTTACCCTTGTAACACCGAGTGGCAATGTCTGTTTTCATAGGAGAGAAGACATAAAGAAACTGTCAAGATAATTTATCCCCAACAAACAAAATGTACTTTTTAATATATAGGCTTCTTGTTTATACTGTTGAGCCCCATAGCCTGCTTTAAAAAGGTTCATCTTCAGAGTTAGAAACTAAACCTGTTAACTTAATACTAATAATTTTCTTTTTAAAAAGTGCATACTTTTAAATAATAATTTTCTTAAATCATAAAAGTAACACATGTTCCTTGTTGGAAATTTGGAAAATATAGCAAATAAATGAAAAGAAAAAATAGAAAACATATATAATCCTATTGCTCAGAAAGAACCACTGAAAGCATTGTTTTTTATTATATGCACATATTTTTTCTTATGTAAAACATATATAATTTTGTATCCTTTTAACATTTTTTCACATTATTAGATCTTCTTAAAGATGATTTTTTATGACTGCATGATATTTGACTATGTGATCATAATTTTTAAAAACATTTTACTATAGATCTTTATGTTTCTAACTGTTGGCAACACAGCAACAAACATCCGTGAGAATTATTCTCTAATTGCAGCTCCAAAATATTTTTCAGAACAGGTTTTTGGAAACAGGATCACTGGTTCTTAGACTTTCTGTATTGTTAAGACTCTCGATAAATACTGCCAAGTAGATTTCAAGGAAGTTTGTACCAACATTTTCTTCCAACAGTAGACAATGAGAATACCCATTTTCTCAAATACTCACTGATCCACCTGCCTTATTTTAATTTACATTATTACTGGTGAAGTTGAACATTTTTCTATGTGTTTATACTGGTCATTTTTAAATTCTTTTTTTGTTTATTGCCTTTCTTGTCTTTGGCTATTTATCTATTCATATCTTCATCTTACTTGTTTGTAAAAAATCTCTAAGACTTTAATTTGTTATGTTTGATTTCTCTACAACTTAATTCAAACAACTCTTTTAATCCAGAATGGAATTAGTCATTCCTTTATAAGGTATAATTCTTATTGTTGGGATAGAACTTCTTATAGTGGTTCAGGTTTCAAGAGTTGAATTAAAACCTAAAAAAATTTCTGAAAATGAACAGAGTTACTGACTTTTTATTATCAGAAGCAAGCATTAGCAAAACAAAACAAAAACTATCACTTCCTATCATCATTTCTTGAACGAAAGGATATTTGGCAGTAAAAAACTATTAAGGCCATAACTTTAGAAAAAAAAAACACCTTTAAGTAAAGTGAATTAGGCTTTATAAGAATTTACTATATGGCCCTTCTGTTCCCAATTTTCATCATAAGCTGGTGAAAACTTGTCCCACATTGTGGCACCTGCCTGTAGACCAGCATTTGGGAACCACACATCATAAAAATATAACTGTCTTCTGCCCGGGCCCGGTGGCTCACGCCTGTAATCCCAGCACTTTGGGAGGCTGAGGCGGGTGGATCACGAGGTCAAGAAATTGAGACCATCTGGCCAACATGGTGAAACCCCATCTCTACGAAAAATACAAAAATTAGCTGGGCATCGTGGCGCATACCTGTAGTCCCAGATACTCCGGAGGCTGAGGCAGAAGAATCGCTTGAACCCGGGAGGCGGAGGTTGCAGTGAGCCAAGATCATGCCACTGCACTGCAGCCTGGCTATAGAGCAACATTCCGTCTCAAAAACAAAATAAAATAAAATATAACAAAAAAAAAACCTGTCTTCTTCCACCCCTTGAAAACAGGGGGGGAATCTTTATTTCTGTTATCTTCAGGATATAAAACAGATTCCAGGAACTCATTAAATAGTCATGAAACAGTATTTCAGTTTTGCAATAGCATTTTGTTTTAATATTTCTTTTGATTCAGTTTAAAAATCTCTCAAGTTACAGTACAGTACAGTACAACTTACAAAGATTAAAACTCAAAACACCTCTTAAATTTTCTTGGGATACTGGTTTATTCTCTAAATGTAGCTTAGCTATCTCTAGACATCAGGAACAACTTAACAACAGATTTCTCATTCAGAAAGATAAGATATTCAGTATTATTTCAATAAAAAATTAGAATTGTAATTGTTATCTAGATCGAGGTTGCAAATAGCCATTTATCTTTGTCTTTCCCTAGTCAACACTAATTATGGTGGAGCTATTTTCAGAGAAAACATCTCTATTTCCTTCTCCCAGATATTCTCTTTTCCTGATAGTGAATGACAGACATGCAGCTTATTACATTTCAATTTGCCTTATGTGGATATCTTGTTTAGATTTTTGAAAAATTCCATACAACTATATGATGTATTTATTTTCTATGACTTATGAATCCCAGTCCTTCCACTGCATAAAGAAAGCCTTAGTTTAAGTACACTGATACACAGGCAAGGCCAGGAATGATGAACACTGTAACAACGATACATTTATTTTCTTTTTTTTTTATTATACTTTCAGTTTTAGGGTACATGTGCGCAACGTGCAGGTTTGTTACATATGTATACATGTGCCATGTTGGTGTGCTGCACCCAGTAACTCATTTAACATTAGGTATATCTCCAAATGCTATCCCTCCCCCTTCCCCCCACCCCACAACAGGCCCCGGTGTGTGATGTTCCCCTTCCTGTGTCCATGTGTTTTCATTGTTCAATTCCCACTTGTGAGTGAGGACATGAGGTATTTGGTTTTTTGTCTTTGCGATAGTTTGCTGAGAATGATGGTTTCCAGCTTCATCCATGTCCCTACAAAGGACATGAACTCATCATTTTTTATGGCCACATAGTATTCCATGGTGTATATTTGCCACATTTTCTTAATCCAGTCTATGATTGTTGGACATTTGGGTTGGTTCCAAGTCTTTGCTATTGTGAATAGTGCTGCAATAAACATATGTGTGCATGTGTCTTTATAGCAGCATGATTTGTAATCCTTTGGGTATATACCCAGTAATGGGATGGCTGGGTCAAATGGTATTTCTAGTTCTAGATCCCTGAGGAATCACCACACTGACTTCCACAATGGTTGAACTAGTTTACAGTCCCACCAACAGTGTAAAAGTGTTCCTATTTCTCCATATCCTCTCCAGCACCTGTTGTTTCCTGACTTTTTAATGATCGCCATTCTAACTGGTGTGAGATGGTATCTCATTGTGGTTTTGATTTGCATTTCTCTGATGGCCAGTGATGATGAGCATTTTTTCCTGTGTCTTTTGGTTGCATAAATGTCTTCTTTTGAGAAGTGTCTGTTCATATCCTTTGCCCGCTTTTTGATGGGGTTTTTTTTTCTTGTAAATTTGTTTCTTAATCCTGAGTTCTAGTTTGATTGCACTGTGTTCTGAGAGACAGTTTGTTATAATTTCTGTTCTTTTACATTTGCTGAGGAGTGCTTTACTTCCAACTATGTGGTCAATTGTGGAATAAGTGCAGTGTGGTGCTGAGAAGAATGTATATTCTGTTGATTTGGGGTGGAGAGTTCTGTAGATGTCTATTAGGTCCGCTTGGTGCAGAGCTGAGTTCAATTCCTGGATATCCTTGTTAACTTTCTGTCTTGTTGATCTGTCTAATGTTGACAGTGGGGTGTTAAAGTCTCCCATTATTATTGTGTGGGAGTCTAAGTCTCTTTGTAGGTCACTAAGGACTTGCTTTATGAATCTGGGTGCTCCTGCATTGGGTGCATATATATTTAGGATAGTTAGCTCTTCTTGTTGAATTGATCCCTTTACCATTCTGTAATGGCCTTCTTTGTCTCTTTTGATCTTTGCTGGTTTAAAGTCTGTTTTATCAAAGACTAGGATTGCAACCCCTGCCTTTTTTTGTTTTCCATTTGCTTGGTAGATCTTCCTCCCTCCCTTTATTTTGAGCCTATGTGTGTCTCTGCACGTGAGATGGGTTTCCTGAATACAGCACACTGATGGGTCTTGATTCTTTATCCAATTTGCCAGTCTGTGTCTTTTAATTGGAGCATTTAGCCCATTTACATTTAAGTTTAATATTGTTATGTGTGAATTTGATCCTGTCATTATGATGTTAGCTGGTTATTTTGCTCGTTAGTTGATGCAGTTTCTTCCTAGCCTCGATGGTCTTTACAATTTTGTTATGTTTTTGCAGTGGCTGGTACCGGTTGTTCCTTTCCATGTTTAGTGCTTCCTTCAGGAGCTCTTGTAGGGCAGGCCTGGTGGTGACAGAATCTCTCAGCATTTACTTGTCTGTAAGGTATTTTATTTCTCCTTCACTTATGAAGCTTAGTTTGGCTGGATATGAAATTCTGGGTTGAAAATTCTTTTCTTTAAGAATGTTGAATATTGGTCCCCACTGTCCTCTTCTGGCTTGTAGAGTTTCTGCCGAGAGATCAGCTGTTAGTCTGATGGACTTTCCCTTTGTGGGTAACCCGACCTTTCTCTCTGGCTGCCCTTAACATTTTTTCCTTCATTTCAACTTTGGTGAATCTGACAATTATGTGTCTTGGAGTTGCTCTTCTTGAGGAGTATCTTTGTGGCGTTCTCTGTATTTCCTGAATTTGAATGTTGGCCTACCTTGCTAGATTGGGGAAGTTCTTCTGGATAATATCCTGCAGAGTGTTTTCCAACTTGGTTCCATTCTCCCTGTCACTTTCGGGTACACCAATCAGACGTAATTTGGTCTTTTCACATAGTCCCATATTTCTTGGAGGCTTTGTTCATTTCTTTTTATTCTTTTTTCTCTAAACTTCTCTTCTCGCTTCATTTCATTCATTTGATTTTCCATCACTGGTACCCTTTCTTCCAGTTGATCGAATTGGCTACTAAGCTTGTGTATTTGTCACGTAGCTCTTGTGCCTTGGTTTTCAGCTCCATCAGGTCCTTTAAGGACTTCTCTGCATTGGTTATTCTAGTTAGCCATTCGTCTAATTTTTTTTCAAGGTTTTTAACTTCTTTGCCATTGGTTCGAACTTCCTCCTTTAGCTCTGAGTAGTTTGATCGTCTGAAGCCTTCTCTCAACTCATCAAAGTCATTCTCCGTCCAGCTTTGTTCCATCGCTGGTGAGGAGCTGCGTTCCTTTGGACGAGAAGAGGCGCTCTGATTTTTAGAGTTCCCAGTTTTTCTGCTCTGTTTTTTCCCCATCTTTGTGGGTTTATCTACCTTTGGTCTTTGATGATGGTGACGTACAGATGGGGTTTTGGTGTGGATGTCCTTTCTGTTTGTTAGTTTTCCTTCTAACAGTCAGGACCCTCAGCTGCAGGTCTGTTGGAATTTGCTGGAGGTCCACTCCAGACCCTGTTTGCCTGGGTATCAGCAGTGGAGGCTGCATAACAGTGGATATTGGTGAACAGCAAATGTTGCTACCTGATTATTCCTCTGGAAGTTTTGTCTCAGAGGAGTACCCGGCCATGTGAGGTGTCAGTCTGCCCTTACTGGGGGGTGCCTCCCAGTTAGGCTCCTCGGGGGTCAGGGACCCACTTGAGGAGGCAGTCTGTCTGTTCTCAGATCTCCAGCTGCGTGCTGGGAGAACCACTACTCTCTTCAAAGCTGTCAGACAGGGACATTTACGTCTGCAGAGGATTCTGCTGCCTTTTGTTTGGCAATGCCCTGCCCCCAGAGGTGGAGTCTACAGAGGCAGGCAGGCCTCCTTGAGCTGTGGTGGGCTCCACGCAGTTCGAGCTTCTGGGCTGCTTTACCTACTGAAGCCTGGGCAATGGCGGGCACCCCTCCCCCAGCCTTGCTGCTGCCTTGCAGTTTGATCTCAGACTGCTTGGCTAGCAATGAGTGAGGCTCCATGGGCGTAGGACCCTCCGAGCTATGCGCGGGATATAATCTCCTGGTGTGCTGTTTGCCAAGACCATTGGAAAAGTGCAATATTAGGGTGGGAGTGACTCGATTTTCCAGGTGCCGTCTGTCACCCCTTTCTTTGACTAGGAAAGGGAATTCCCTGACCCCTTGCACTTCCTGGGTGAGGCAATGCCTCACCATGCTTCGGCTCACGCTCGGTGTGCTGCACCCACTGTTCTGCACCCACTTTCCGACACTCCCCAGTGAGATGAACCCAGTACCTCAGCTGAAAATGCAGAAATCACCCATCTTCTGCATCGCTCATGCTGGGAGCTGTAGACTGGAGGTATTCCTATGTGGCCATCTTGGCTCTGCCCCGATACATTTACTTTCTACAACTTAGTAGAACCAACTTACCTCATTTATATGAGAAGCATGCAAGAAGGGCATAGAAATTGTCCATTTTAGTACACACTTAAGGAAAATGACAGTAAAGATGAGTATCCCAAAGCAAATTTAAAAACTTAAAAGATAGGAATTATAAGTGAGTGATTCAATTAGATCATAACTTTTTACAATACTGGAATAAACATAATAGTACACATGCATATAAAACCAAGTATTAGAGAATATAGAGGCAGAGGCAACAGAAGTTTTCAAATGCTGTGAATCCACACATAAAAACAGAGCAAATAGATAAAACCAAATTTTCATGGACAATGTTTACAACAAAACTACATGACAAGGTTGCTCTATAGGCTCCAAAAGAAGTTGGTAGAGATAAACCACCATCAACACAAGACCTGCATGGTATTCATGTGGGAGAAGAAGGAAGTGTCAGGGCAGCATCTGATGGACCTGAAAACAGGAGAGCCCCAGAACAGTCAACAAATATTCACCGGAATGTGTGGAGACCAATTTACAGCAATTGAAATAGGGAGGAGTTTTGTTCTCTTCAATACCAGATGAGTTCATGGGATCCACAGTAAAAAGGTCTGAAGGGGCCTGGTACAGTGGCTCCTGTAATCCCAGCACTTTGGGAGGCTGAGGCAGGAGAACTGCCTGAGACCAGGAGTTTGAGACCAGCCTAGGCACCATAGTGAAACCCCATCTCTACAAAATTGTTTTTTTTTTTAATTAGCAGGGTGTGGTGGCATGCACCTGTAGTTCCAGCTACCCAGGAGGCTGAGGCAAGGGGATCACTTGAGCCCAGGAAGTTGAGGCTGCAGTGTACTCTATGATTATGCCATTGCATTCCAGCCTGGGTGACAGAGTGAGACCCTGTCTAAAAATGAAAAAAGAAAAAGAAAAAAGAAAGGTCTGAAGAAAGCAGTCCCTGGAGCAGTCGAGCCCCTGTGAATCTAAAAACTATTCCACTAGGACTCTCTTCAAGACAGAATCCTTCTCATAGAAGAAACTGTTGGGGCTAAACTCAAAATGAAACAGGATAAGGACACGAGAGGTGAATAAAAAAGAAGATCTAGGCTGGGCACAGCGGCTCATGCCTGTAATCCCAGCACTTTGGGAGGTCGAGGCGGGCAGATCACCTGAAGTCGGGAGTTCAAGACCAGCCTGACCAACACGGAGAAACCTCATCTCTGCTAAAAATACAAAGTTAGCTGGGTGTGGTGGTGTGCACCTGTAATCCCATCTAGTCGGGAGGCCAAGGCAGGAGAATTACTTGAATCCAGGAGGTGGATGTTGCGGTGAGCCGAGATTGCGCCACTGCACTTCAGCCTGGGCCACAAAAGTGAAATTCCGTCTCAAAAAAAAAAAAAAAAAGGAAGGTCTAGACTAAAGTGGAGGATTGGAATAGAGCCAAAAAAATCTCAGAGTAAGCATTACAAATTTTAAACAGTACATATAAACAACAGAAGAGGAAGATCTGTGAAGTTAGAAAAACTTTCCTGAACCTTACCTCATTTTAAAAGTTAAGAAAAACTAATTTCATTTACAAATGAGCAGAGAAAAGTACTGAGGTCAAATTCAAGACAAAGCTATGGTGGGAGTGTGGAGAGGGGGAAGACAGAGGTTAATATTACTGGTAGCAAAAAAGTACACCAGAAAAATATGCTCAAGAAACATATCATGACTATTAACCTACCGTTTTAAAACAAACTAAAAGATGTTAAGAATGATATGAGACATAAAATAACAATATAAATCTGAATTACAAAAACGAAAAAAGTGTTTTAAAACGTGGAGTGAAAGGACCCAGAAACAATGAAATGAAATAATAAAATAATTTAAGAAATAAACACTAAATTAGTCATATCCAAGAGTGAATAAAAAATAGATAACACTTTTAAGAGAAATACAAGATGAAAAAGTGAAAAAAATTTAAGATAAGAAATGAATGAAGAGACAAAAAGGATTCAAGAGAAAGTGACAAATACTGATGATAAAGAAGATTTCACATATGGATAATGGGAGTCCCTGAAGAAGAAGACAACAGCAAGGAAACAGAAAAATTGATTAAAAAATTCAAATTTAAAACATCTTTCCTGAAAGAAAAAAAGATTTTAAACTACATATTGGAAGATCATACTGTGAATCTGAAAAAAACAACCCAGAACAACCAACACCAAGACAAATGCTAGTAAACTTATTAGACTTTAAAGAAAACTAAAAAAGTTATTTGGCCATCTAGAAGGAAGAAAAGCTTGTGACTTATAAAGGGTAAAAAAATCATACATTCTCATCAGACTTTCTACAACAATACTTTGTGATAGAAGAAAATGAAGTAACATTTAAGATGCCCCAGAAAAATAAATTGTGAGCCAAAGATTTTATATCTTGCAAAACCACCTTTCAAGTATAAAGGACATAGCTAAACTGTTATTAACATTCAGTAACTGAAGGGATATTATTCCTATGATCTATAATAGGATATATTTCAGACAATCAAAATGTTTAGAAAGATACCAAAATAAAGACTGGTGATGAGAAGTAAATATACAATTACCAATGAATTAAAAGGGAGAGTGTACAGAGCATAAGGCTACATGCGGTGACAATATAGTTATAGTATAATTATTTTAATTATTTTTTAAAATGGGGAAGAATGGGAAGAACATACACAAAATTTTTAGAAAATCTTTCCAGTAAATGATATTGATAATAGTATAAGTACTGTCATTATGACACTGTTGCGTGTACAACAGTAGATAAAACAATGAGTAATTATTAAATATTCTATCATCTTGTATCCTTAAGAATCAGGATTCTTGGTATGAGAAAAGTATATATATGTAAGTAATAGAGAAGAAGTTGAAAGCTTTGTGGTCTTGAACCTGAATTGGAAGTATAAAAAATTCATAAGGTTATTTATACACACGCATGCGTGCACGCATGCAACACACATGCACACATATATTCATATCCCTTCCAACAAGTTCAGTCCAGTTTCCAGTCAGTCATAATTTCTAATACCTAGAAATTATGACCAACTGGATTGTGTTTCTGAAGGACCACTTCTCTCTAAAAGAAACTAAGGTTTCTTGAAGACATGGCTGATACTGTGTCTGCAACAGAAAATATATAAGATGTGTATGGAACATCTTTTTATACCAATGTCAAATAAGCTATCAAAGGCCATTAGGGTCAAGGCAAAAGAAGTTAACTTTGAAAAGCTCCCACTGGTTAAAGATGAGACAATCTGAGCTTCAACCATGATAAAAATTACAATGGATTGAATATAATCAAATATTGTTAAGTCCCTGCATTCATACTGTTATTAAAACAAGAGTTGCTCACTTTGGGAAATGATAGGGAACAAATTCATTATCTTGAAAACTGGTGGATAAGCATCTATTCTGTACTTTCTATGTGAATGCTACCACTGGGAAATAAAATAATAGATAATGAGAAATGTCTCTTTGTAAAAGTATTCCAAATAATAAATGAAATAATGATAGAATAAGAATATCACCATTTTGTAATCCCCAACTGCATTAAGTAATAATGGCTTTTGGCATCACACAAGTGAGACAATAAGATATCACGTGTCTCCTACAGTCTTGTCAAACATTAGTTTTGCCAGAAAAATGGAACCTGGGTCTGATCCTATCTGTGGATCCACTTGCCAATTTGCAGGAAATATAGAAGATGGGAGGCATATAGCGATGTATCTTAAGTAAGCAAATCCCAGGCTGCTGGAAACTCTTTGGGTCGAATGGCTCAAGTATTTCTAGAGATAAACTATGGGAAATGGAAGGGAAATCTATCAATTAAAAGAGATTTAAAAGACAGAGTACAAAGAAGTTAAGGTTGATCTCTGGGTGGTGAGAATGTTTTGTTGTTGGCCTACATTTTCTGTTTTTATACAATGCATATAAACTTCCTCTGTAATGACAACAAGTTGTTACAAATAATGTAACTGGTTGCCAAAAGCAACAAAAGAAACGCAGTTACATTTTTTAAAAATGGCAAAACCAAACTATTGTGCTAGGGATGTACATTTGGTTGACAGAACTATCAGGAAAAAATCCAGGAAGACGATTACTGCAGAGGTTAGGATAATGATTTCTTGTGGAGAGAGGAAGGCATGGGGCACATAGAAGAGGCTTTTGCCCTAGGTGGCAAAATTTTCTTTCTTGATCTGGGTGCTGATTACAAGCATTTTCACCTTACAACAATGTACTAAGCCATATATATAGCATGTAATTCTCTGTATCTGTGTTTTATTTTATAATAAAAAGATGAAAAAATACACATAGACATCCATGTAGAGTTTCTCCTCTCTCTGGCCACCTCTAATATCCTTAGAGTCATTTTTAGAGACTTGACATTTGAAAGGTCTATAGCTAGCCACCTTTACTCATCCTAAAATTTGAAAATACCACTTTGGCATAAAACTTACCCAGTTCCCTTATCTGTAAAATGACTAAGGTTATAGTCATTTAACAAGTAGACTGTGAGGCTATGATAATGAAAATAATTTTTGTATTAAAGTTGAACACCACCACCACATGGCAAAATAAATGCTGGGCAGCTGGCTAAGCTCACTCTCTATCTAAGTGTCTTGAATGAGTTTACTCTTTAAATCTGTGCCTAAGCAAAATTATAATGACTGTCGTAATTTTGGAAGTGCTGGCAAATAAATAGAAAAAAATAAAAATACCAACAATCTACATACAGTCCTGAGACCTCTTCTAAAATACCTTTTTCCCTCAGTTGCATACTGAATCCAGACTCTCAGGGATTCTACTTACTTAAAAGGGCTTGGGCCTACCAAAAGAAAAAGGAAGTGAGTTTAACACTAAATCTAAACCTAATGCCAATAAGTAAAAGAAACAGCTCCCATTACAATGGTAGAAGAAATAATGTAAAGGCTTTGATATAGTAGCAAGGAGCTGGAATAAAGAATGAATAAGAGCTGAAAATGATGATATATTCTGAAGAGATAAGTGAGTGACCTGGAACCCATGTAAACAGGAGATGCTGGGTTGCAGTTCTGGAACCACATATGTAATTATTTTTGTTATATGATGTATAACAAAATAAAAGCCAGACAATATCCATGCCTATGTGTACATGTGCATTCCTGTATTGTCCTATGATATACAAGAAGGCAAACACAAATTCAACAAGATCTATGCATGTGATATTCAGGTCAAAGGACAAGACAGAAAGAAAGAAATAATAACCTGGATGAGCAGATGGGAGGAACTGACCATCTTAAGATGTGAAGTGGTAAACTACAAAATGAAAAAGAAATAGGGATTCATGAGAAAGAAAGAAAGAAGAGTGGGAAAACAAGAGTAGAAAAAAATGGAAATTACACCAAAGTACATTTTAAAAGCAAATTTGAGAAGTTATTTTAATATATTCATTTTAAAGTAGATAGAAATGAGATATGACCACTGGTACGGATTTGGTCTGCTAACAAAAGTTCAACCTAAGACCTGTTTTAGAGAAAGTAACATAATACAGTATATGTATTTAGGCTGATTTAGGCTGTATAATCTTGTAAATGGTAGATATGAAGCCGTAATTACAAAAATAATTTATCCATTAATTATTTTATTTTACATTAATGTTTTCAAAAGGACAGCTCTTTTTTCAAATGCTTATTCCAATTTATCATTTGTCCTCTGACTTCATGATCTTTTTTCTGCACCAAAGTTTTTTCTTTTTATTTTATAGCTGTTCCTTTGAGAGCAGGCCTAACTCCTGGGCAGTGTGCCCAGAGTCAGCACAGTTTTTAAAAAATATTAAATTGGCAGAATAAATTTGAATATGTTCAAGGTGTACAATGTAATGATTTGATATAATTGTGTAATGATTACCACAATCAAATTAACACATCCATCACCACACTTGCTGTGCATCAGATACCTAGAACTTGTCTAATTTATAACTGAAAGTTTATACCCTTTGACCAATATCTCCCCATTTCCCCTAGCCCTTAGGCCCTGATAACCACCATTCTACTTCTGCTTCTATGAGTTTCACTTTTTTAGATTCAAAGGAACAATTCTTACCAAGTGGTATACATCATCTAAACAGGTAAATTCATTAAAGCTAATGTTTAGTTTTCGAAGTCCTGTTAACTTGGAGAGATCTCTCAATTTACTCAAGCTGTTTCCATGTAGATTCAGACTCTGAAGCAAAATAAAATATACATTAAAAAATAATACAGGTTACATTCTACATCAAACTGAAGTGTGGATATGTAAAATGTTTAGAACAATTATTTGAGCCAATATACTACAAAATAAGAAAGCAGTTATTTTAAATAGCATTAAGAAACAGTCAATAAGAAAAAAAATCTAATCTATGATGTTAAAAGATAAATAATTTGTAATAGTATCACTAGACCTGGTTCTTGATTAATATGATTTCTTACTTGGTCTAAGTTTGTCAGCAATTGGCGTGAAATTCTTTTTAGAAAATAAATACATGTGTTAAGATACTTATTAGGGTAGATCTGTTTCTAAGGCTAACCAGTGAACAATGGAGACCCTAAAGATTTGGGGTATCAGGTAGGGTACCTCACACAAGAGAGATGGCAGGAAAATGTATGAGGGCACCGAACCAAAGAAGAAAAGCTGAGGGTGCTGAAGTAGGAGGACAGAAGGTCAAAGGAGGAGGTGGGAGATTGTTTAAGACAACACCTACATCAGAATTTGGCCCAGACTTTTCTTGTCCATTTCATTCTAGGCTATATAAAAACAAATATTATTACACATTTATACTAAAGGAGAGATCCTGATGCCTATATGTTTTTCTGTCTTTATACCATTATGAGTGGTATCAAGTAAAGACTGTATTTATGTATAGCTTGCAAAATAAACAAGGGCACAAGACAATGTATTAATGCAACTGACTACAGTATCAAGTATCTATCTCCCAGCTATCTTCATTCACCACCACCATCTTATGCCTTATATTGTGGACATAACAAAATTCCTAGAAGGGAGAAACAATTAAATTTCTAATAGCTGTCAAAATTAGCTAAAATTGTTAAGGGCCAATTTATGCAGACTAGTGATTTTACAAGTCACATATGGGTATCATCCATGATATATTCTACAGAAACCTCACATTTAACATGTCCACAACTGATTTCATCTTCCCTATGTGTCTGATAAAGAGCTTCACTATCTAACATACTGTTGATCACCTGCTTTCCCTCTTTTCTTTATACATTTGATTGTAGAACTGTTTCTCAAACAGGCCACACCGTTATATCACCACTATCAGTGCCTTAGCAGACTTAGGCAGTGGTAGTGGTGATGTAACGGTGCAGCTGGTTTTCTGGTTATCCAGTGAAGAAATGAATGGATTTTTCCTTTGGATAGTGCAATAGTTTTCTACTGAATTTCCATACCACCAGTCTGATTTCAGTTAATTCCATGCACAAGCTGTCAAAGTTAGGGTCTTTAAAGGGAGTCTGTTCCTTAAACAGAAGAATATAAACTTTTAAATTTTGGCTTCCAAAATCCATCCTAATTTGGCTACAACCTCATACTCTTCCAGCCCTGGCTTCCTGTGTCTTTCTTGAATTCCAACCTACATCTTTACCCTCCACCATTGTAACACTATATTCTAGGCATACTAAATTTTTCAGTGTTCCCTGAAGACATCTGGATCTTTCAAAAGCATGTTTCTACAGTAAGAATATTTTCTCTCTCTGGAAGATGTAAACAACTAAATTTCTCATGTCCTTCAAAATCCACTCAAAGCTCACCTCTTTCTATAAATCTCTCCCAGTAACTCTGAGCTTCCTACATGTGTTCACATATATATTTGCTCCACTAAATTGATGTTTTTGACTCAGGTAAACTAATTTCTTACTAAAATAGTAAATCTAGATATTATAGTGCAGAAATAATAATTTCTCAGTACTGTCAGCCAGAAGATTGCTCTTATTATGCTGCACATTTACAGACACAGGACAGGGCCTCTGTTGCATAACTCTAGAGGCATCCTACTCCCCTTATCTTGTATTGAGTTCTATTCAGTTATATAATGAATAACACCCAAAGGGCACACTAAAGAGAATATAATGTGAATTTTGCCTTCTAGAGTTGTGCAATATTGCAATAGTAGAGTACAGAGAGTCTGGTTGGAAGGCTGGGGTAATAGTCTAGGTCAGAAACTATAGTAGTTTGGATAGAGTGGTAGCAGCAGATCTGAAATGAACACATCTAAAAGTCAGACATAGAAGTAGGCCTAATATCTCAGTAGAATTGTCTCGGCATAAAGTAAGTCACTTTAATAAGTAACCTGATTTCCATTGATTAATTTTGTAAAGATCCCATATTCTATGTTGATTAATTCTAGAAGCTTATTTAAAACTTATCTGCCTTTATCTTATTGAAGAGAGCTGATTGGTTATTCAGGAATAAAATCCCTTGCTAATTGGAAGGCCACCTCAAATGGCTATTGAGCACTTGAAATGTGACTAGTCTTAATGTGCTCAGAGTGTAAAATATACTTCAGAATTAAGAGTTAGGATGAAATTACCTTATTAATGAATATTCATACTGGTTCCATGTTAACATGATAATAGTTTAGATATGCAGGTGCTATAGTTTCAATGTGTCCCCCAAAAGTTCATGTGTTGGAAACTTACTCCCTCTGCCTTCATGAATGGATTAATGTCACTTTCAGAGGAGTGGGTCTATTATCTTGGGAGTAAATTTGTTATAAAATCAGCTCTCTCTGGCTCTCTTGCTCTTGCCTTCTTGCCATGTGATGCCCACTGCCATTTTATGACACTGCAAGGCCCTCACCAGATGCAGGCACCATGCTCTTGGATGTCCCAGCCTCCAGAACGATGAGCTAAATAAACGTATTCTCTTCATAAATTACTCAGTCTGTGGTATTTTGTTATAGAAATAGAAAACAAACTAAGATATTTCAGTTAAATAAAATGTATTATTAAAATTAATTTTACTTTTTAAAAAAGCTTTTAAAAACATAGCTACTAGAGAAGTAAAAATTACATATGTGGTTCACATTATATTACTACTAGAGAGCACTGATTTAATCCAAGTAGAAAAAGAGAAATGGACGCTTTAGGTAGCATTGTACCTGGCATCATCAGACAGGCAGTTTAGTATCTTTTGACTTCATATGCTAGATTCTGATTCCAAATTCAAGATTCCTGTCTCAAAGCTGTATTTCTCACAATACTCACCACAATATGACTGTAAACGCTAGTCTTTGCAAGGGAAAGTATTGTTTTATCATCCAAACTAATCAGTTTTGGTCGGGCCTTGATTCTGGGCTCCATTTTTATAACTTCATCATCAAATTTCAAATCCTTGGAAAATACTGATACTTCTGGGTTTTTTTTGCTTTCTTCTAGAATAACATTGTTGAATACAGAAAATAAAGAGGGTGCCTTGACCTAAAAAATGTATTAAAAACATTGCAAAATCAGTTGCTGTATTTATCATTTTGAAAAACAAACAAGCTATGTAGAAAAGATGAGTTGACATTTTTAGTTATACAGTCATATCTGTGATTATCAGAATCACATTAGGACATCTATGAGAGCAGATTAAAATTGTAGGCTATGCATGGTGTATCTATTCCCACCCACTGAACATTTCTTAAAACTGGCAGAAGATAATTTTAAAATATTTCATAACAGTGAAGAGGGTACCTACAAAAGCCTAGAAATTGTGACACATGAATCAGAAAGGACTGAACTGACAGGTAAATAGGATCAGAAATGTAACCTCTGGCTAAAAAATATGCAGGAGATAAACACTTTTAAAATCAGATCCAGAGAAACTTGAACAAAGAGCAATTAGTTACCTTAATTATCAGGTAATTCAGTAATTACGGTAAGAATTGTGGATGAATGAGCAAGAGCCACATGAACAAACAGAACTGGCTCTAGAAAAAACCAGAATACTTCATCAGAGAATTTTTAAAAATCTAGGACAATAAAGTACCTATGATAAAAGAATAAGCTGCTATGGAAAAGAAAAGGACACACACTTCAAAGCTAAAATAAAAACAATTATTAAAATAAAAATTTAGTAAATACCCTGAGAACCAAGTGGATATGGTAGCAGATCAAATTAGCAATGTGGAAGCTAAGATTGAGAAAATATTTCAAAACAAATAATTTAAAAATAGAGTATAAAATAGAAGAGAAAAAATTAAAAGGCATGAAGGATCAATTTGGAACACCCGATATTTAACTAATCAGGGTATTCCAGAGGGCCTAATAGAGAATGGAAGAGAAGAAATAACCAAGAAACTAAGAGAAGCAAACTTTCCAGAAGAGAAGAAAGAATTGAATCATCACATCAAAAGAGCTCATAAAGCGGCAAGCAGGAGGATGATGGAACCAAGGTCTTTGCTGACATCATTGAATGGTCACAACTGCCAGGTATTGCCCATCTCTTGAGTTGTTATGTGAGTTAAATGAACTTCTATCTGTTTACTGTTTGTCTGGGTTTCTGTATCTTTTGCTAAAGGCATACTTGACTAATATAATCCCATTCATTATAGCAATATAAAATATAAATGTCCAGAACTAAACAAGAAATGTTGGAGACCTATATAAAGAAAACTGTAAGAGAGGACCTGAGTAAATGGAGTAGACAGATTATCATGTTCCTAGAACAAGAAGTCCAATACAGCAAAGTAGTCAGTTCACACCAAATTAAGTTTTAAATTCAATATAATTTCAATCATATTTTAATAGGATATTAAAATAGAGCTTGACAAGCTATTCTAAATTTTATTTGGAAAAAGATACTGTTTAAGAATAGTCAAAAAAAGTTTAAAAAGATGAGTGGGGACAGAGGAAGGGGATTTGCCCTATCACACATCAAGATATATGAAGTTTGTAATAACCAAAACAAATATGATAGTGATCCAAAATTAGATGAAAGAGTTCAATGGAACAGAATAGATTCATATAGACAGATTCCTCATATATGCAAATAATTTTAACAATAAAGGTTGTATTTTGAAATAGAGCAGAAAAGATAATGCCTAAGTATTTATTCATTTAAAAAAATTGACCACCTTTCTACCTCACACACCATAAAACAATTTCTAGATGGATTAAAAAAGCTAAAGGCTTTAAAACAAGTTATATAAGTATTGTAAGAAAATAAAGAATATTTATTACAGGCTTTTTGACATAAGACATAAAATTCAGAATCCATACAGGATAAGATTGAGAGAGAGAGCTGACCTCTTAAAAATTAACTTGTGAATTACAAATTAAAATGATGAGTTTTTCTTTTTTTTAATTTTATTATTATTATACTTTAAGTATTAGGGTACATGTGCACAATGTGCAGGTTAGTTACATATGTATACATGTGCCATGCTGGTGTGCTGCACCCATTAACTCGTCATTTAGCATTAGGTATATCTCCTAATGCTATCCCTTCCCCCTCCCCCCACCCCACAACAGTCCCCAGAGTGTGATGTTCCCCTGCCTGTGTCCATGTGTTCTCATTGTTCAATTCCCACCTATGAGTGAGAACATGCGGTGTTTGGTTTTTTGTCCTTGCGATAGTTTACTGAGAATGATGATTTCCAATTTCATCCATGTCCCTACAAAGGACATGAACAAAATGATGAGTTTTTCTTTTCTTTCTTTATTTTTTTTTGAGACGGAGTCTCGCTCTGTCGCCCAGGCTGGAATGCCGTGGCGCGATCTCTACTCACTACAAGCTCTGCCTCCCGGGTTCACGCCATTCTCCTGCCTCAGCCTCCCGAGTAGCTGGGACTACAGGCGCCCGCCACCACGGCCGGCTAATGTTTTGTATTTTTAGTAGAGACGGGGATGGTTAGCCAGGATGGTCTCGATCCCCTGACCTCATGATCCGCCTGCCTTGGCCTCCCAAAGTGCTGGGATTACAGGCGTGAGCCACCGCACCTGGCCGAGTTTTTCTTACAATTAAAATTAAAAGGCAAGTGACAGAAAATATTTGCAACATATATAAGATAAATGATTTTTAATTTTTTAAATTTTTAAAGTTTTTTGTAGAGACAAGATCTCACTATGTTGCCCAGGCTGGTCTCAAACTCCTGGGCTCAAGCAATCCTCTCACCTTGAACTCCTGGGATTGCAGGCATGAGCCACCATGCCTGGGCTAAGATAAAGTACTAAAATCCAGAATGTATGTAAGGATTTTCCCAATTAATACAAGAAAGACAGAGTTTAATAGAAAATGGTCAAAAGATATAACATTTGGTTCGTACAACTCTAAATAATTTTAAGCATATGAAAGAATAAAATATAATGTTTTTTGCCCACCATAGTGGCCAAAAGAGACTGATAACATCTTGTGTTGGCAAATGTAATGAGACATGCACTGTCACACACACTTGGAAATTTGTAAAACAGTCAAGTCTTTGTGGAGAGAATTTGGCAAAATCTAACAAAATTTAAGATGCATATATCCTTTGACTCCCAAGTTTTCTACAAATCTATCCTGTAGAGAAACTTCCATATTTGTATAAAGATACATCTACAATGATGTTCACTGAAATATTATTTTAAATAATAAATATGGACACAGTATATCAACAGGAGAATAGTTGAATAAATTAGTATTACTGAATAATATGCAGCCACCAAAATAATGAAATACCCATCTATATGTACTAAAGTGAAAATATGTTCAAAACATATTGTTAAAGGCAAAAAAATCACAGAATACTTAGACCTTGTTTCTACTATGTCAAATGGTATCTGTTATTATATATGTAAATGTGTAGAAAAAGGATTGAAAGCAAACCCATAAAACTGTTAACAGTGGATTCCCTGGTGAAAGAGAATGGCAGTGAGGTTAAAGTGAGGGCACATTTTCATGTTTATTCTTCAATGTAGTTTCAATGTATTTTGAATCTTCAAAGTAGACTGAATCTTTTCCAGTGGGAGTACAGCCATATATTAATCATTTGATTATTTGCCTAAAAAATATTAGTTGACTTGTTTTGAAAATTAAGTTATTCACAAAATAACAATTATACACACATGCACATAATATAAACTTGACATAGCATTATTCGACTTCAAATTACTACTTTGTTCCCATTTAAGGAATTAGAATTAGTCTTTAAGAATATGTAACAATTCATACCATTGTAATATACTCAAATTCAACAACATATTCCGGCAAAACAAGGTCATGATCAAAGACAAACCACTTGCACTGCCGAACACTGCAATCACAGTTTCTTTGTCCCATGACAGAATCTAGAGTAAAAGCAAAAACAAGCAAAGCAAACACATTTTCTCAAATTGAAACATACTTTTTCATTCTTACATAGTTTAATAATTAACAAACTCAATAAGTTGCAACAGTTATATTATTGAAGATTTTTTCTTTCATTTTTAAATAAATAACAAACTCAGTAAGTTGCGACAGTTATATTATTGAGGATTTTTTCTTTCATCCTTTCCACTCCAGCTTTTTAATTATATAAATACTTTTTAATTATATAAATCCTTTCACTACATAGACTAGTAGTGCTTAATTTTATTCATATCCTTTTCCTTTTCATACTTTTTCACTTTTCTATTCAATGTGTGGCCATGCAATTTTGACAAACGTATTTCTCTAAAACTCTTGTTAAAAGTCGGGTGCTTTTTTAATTCTTTGAAAATGAACACACACACACACACACACACACACACACACACAAATACATAATTACATTAAAATTTGCCAGATTATCTACCCACACCCATATATAAATGTCTTTGATGTAGGGAATATAAAAATTATTAGTGGCTAGTAACAGATTTTTGTAGAAAATTCTACAAACTTTGTTAAGTAGAAATAAAATTGTGAGTATCCGTATTAAACACAAACATTTTTCATTCAGAGAGATAAAACCACATTAATCTTTATGATAGACATACTTAGTAAATATTTCCGAGGAATGAACACTGAATTAACCATTGGATAGTTGGATTGACTGATGGATTCTTTTTCATGGGCCTGAACACTCTGGCCAAGGAAAACTTTTGTAATGAGGAGGATGCCTAAATATAAAAAAACAGAAGTAATTCTTAAGAATAATTAACTTTAATAATTTTCCAACATAACCTTCTTTATTGGCCCAAGACTAAACTGTATGTTCTGTAAAGGCAGAGATGCTGGCTCTCTTGTTTGCTACTGTACAGCGCATAACACATTGCTCGATCCAAAATAGATGCTCAACAAATATTTGTTGAATACATGAAATAATTATAAAAGAGGTGTTGTGTGATTATATCAAGCAAAGCTTTACAGAAGAGGGAGAAGGAAAGAACACATTAATTCGGCAAGGTTTTTTAAGTAGTTAAAAATAAATTTTGGTTGTTGTTAACTGGGTAAAAGTTCAGTAGCACCTAGCACATAGCTTAGATGGTAGGAGGCACTCAATATATGTCTACTTAATGAATAAACATTTCATTTTCCTTTAGATTCTTAAGGATCCTTGGGATTCATTAAATCCTAAAGTCAAGAAACTAAAAACGTAATTTATAATCATAATACATAAAATGTTCAAAGGAATTTTGTTTGTTTTTACTATGTACAAGATATAAAATGTAAATTAGGAGAACCTAATTGTTTTGGAAACATTCCAGAAGGATCTAGCAGAACATCGTGAGGCATTTCTTAATATGAAAATGGAGAAGAATGATAAAGAATAAAAGGTTTTTTCAAGTAAGGAGTTAAGGAGTTCTTTCTAGACTCAATAACCTGCTTAATTTTATAATTATTATTAACTGGATAAAAAACTGCAAAACACGTATCGTTTAGTTCAGAATGATTCACCTTAGCAATCTGGAACCTAGAATGTCATTCTTATAGAATTAAGTTAACCCAATTTCTGACTACCCAATCTTTAGTACAGTGGTCTCCAACCTTTTTGGCACCAGGGACTGGTTTCATGGAAGACAATTTTCCCCCAGACTGGGGATGGGAGGATGGTTTCAGGATGATTCAGGTGTATTATATTTATTGTGTACTTTATTTCTATTATTATTACATTGTAACATATAATGAAA
Source organism: Homo sapiens (assembly GCF_000001405.40). Taxonomy (NCBI): domain Eukaryota; kingdom Metazoa; phylum Chordata; class Mammalia; order Primates; family Hominidae; genus Homo; species Homo sapiens. The sequence continues at coordinate 59,976,213 of NC_000014.9, read as the reverse complement.
TAATTATATAACTCACCATAATGTAGAATCAGTGGGAGCCCTGAGCGTGTTTTCCTGCATCTAGATGGTCCCATCTGGGGGTGTTGGGAGACAAGTGACATATCATCAGGCATTAGGTTCTCATAAGGAGCGCACAACCCAGATCCCTCGCATGTGCGGTTCACAATAGGGTTCGCGCCCCTATAAGAATCAAATGCTGCCACTGATGTGACAGGAGGCGGAGCTCATGCGGTAATGCAAATGATGGGGAGTGGCTGCAAATACAGATGAAGCTTTGCTCACTTGCCCCCTGCTCACCTCCTGCTGTGTGGCCAGGTTCCTAACAGGCCACAAACTGCAACCAGTCTGTGGGCAGGGGTTGGAGACCCTGCTTTAGTAGGTCGGATGGTTGAGACTAAAGAATAGGTGTTCCTTACTCCCTGACCTGATCTATTCTCCATATTATACATTCTTTGGTACCACGCATTAATACTTCATGTTTATAGCTCCTATATGATAACTATGATTTTATATTTATGTGATTATTAATATTTATAAGCACCATAAAGATGAAACTGTCTAGTTTGCATAGACTGTATCCCTTCCAGTGCCTAACACACAATAAGCATTCAATAAATACTTGTGGAACTAAAGAATGTACAGTGGAAGAGGGTGAGGCAAGAAGGACATGATGAGCTATAGTCTTTTTCCCCAGTCCATGGGTACCAGGGAGTTTCTCCCAGAAGTGTCCTATAAATTGGTTTGTGTACTTATATTTCTACATATTCAAGCTGCAAATGAAGTACTGGTAACTATGAATGAATTATCAAAAAATTATCTTATATAAGACAAGTTATAAAGCAATCCATACACTTTACAATTTGTCTTTAGCTGATTTTAACTTAAACCCAGGTTTTCTTATCATCTTAAATTATGATGATTCAGGACAAATAAGGCCTATCTTCCGGAGTACTTTATATAATTATTATATAATTATCACATATATGGGCCAAATTCTTTTCTATTTCCTGTGAATTTGGTGTTCGTGTGTGTAGTGTATATATATATACATATATATATATACATATATATATGTATATATATATACATATATATATATACATATATATATGTATATATATATACACTACACACACACACACACACATAGTTTAGTTCAGCATATATATATATATATATGCTGTGACACATATATATATATGTGACACAACATAATAAACAAAAGCAGACTGTGAAAAATGTCCCTGAAAAGTTGAATTAAATATCTGAGTAACAAATGTTCCTCTTAATGCTGACATAATAATCACTCAGTAAGTATCTGTTAAAAGTGTGGCTAAATTAATGATGAGAAAGTCATGTATTACTACACTGGTAAATATGAAATAAAATGGTTTGAAGAACATCTCCTTGGTTGATAAAACCAAGTATCAGAAACGATATAAAAATAATTAATGAATTTGAAGACAGAACTTAAAAGTTCAGAAACATGGCATATTTGTATTTACCATGTCTGAAGAGCTCATGCTTAAGAGAGATTTTCTTCTCATCTTTGTGCTTTTGCTGTAAAAATTCAATTCTGGGACACTCACTTATACTTAGACTGTTAGAAACAATGATGGCTTCTTTTTTGAGAGGCAGCTGCAAAGAAAAAACAAAGTCTGAGTATTTTTATAAAATTGACAATACTTCAACTTCAATACAGAGGGTTTATTATTTTATTTTTATGTGTCTGGGCAAAGAAATCTGCAGGCCGGACTCACTGAAAAGAAGTAGATAACCTTCAGGTGCAACTTCATTTGGCAAAACCATTTATTTATCTTAAATTCATATGCAAATAGGTTAATAAAAGGTGATGCAGAACAAAAATTGTTCCTGGAAAAGCAGCCACAGTCAAGACTGATAATACTATGTGGAGCAGGAGCAATAGCTTTCAATGAGTACTCCACTAGTAATCTTGCTAACTCCAAAAAGAAAATCTAATGGAATGAGGTATTATATCAGTGAAGATTCTTGTTTATACTATAATTTTTGGGGCTAATAATCTACATTGTTTTCTAGAAACAAAACACTTTTCATGTGTTAACCCATGGAAATCCTAGTTTGTATTGTGACTAACTTTATTTCTTGAAAGTATTCTATCGGTAATGTTCACATTACTTGCTTGCCGTGAAAACAGCTCTAAAAACCAAAAATCTCTATTTTTAGATTTTAGTAGTAAGAAAACTAGAGCTAAAAGAGATTATATGATCTGTCCAAGGACAGAACTAGTAATTGGCAAAGTCACGATTTGAACTCAGGTCTATTTGTCCTTGTCACAATCTCAAAGGTTTGAAATTACTATTTGTTTAACATTAATAGCCAAATTATTTAGAATTATGTCTTATCTGTAAATGCCAAATTACTTATTTTTTTAATTGAAATCTGCAATCCAAAGACATTCTGAAAAAATAAATACAGTCAGCCCTCCACATCCACAGTTCCCACATCTGAGGATTCAACCAACCATGGATTGAAAATATTCAGGAAAAAAATGCAATACAAAATAATACAAATAGCAAACAATGCAGTATAACAACTATTTAAATAGTATTTACATTGCATTGTAAGTAGTCTAGAGGAGTTTTAGAGTACACAAGAGGATATGTGTAGGTTATATGCAAATACTGCACCATTTTATATAATGGACTTGTGTATTCACAGATTTTGGTATCTGCATGAGTCCTGGAATCAATCCCCCAGAGATACTGATGGGTGAGTATACTCTAATAGGGCTTATCCGACCACAAATTCCACACCCCAGTAAGTAACCTTTTTAGACTTTCAATGAACATCACTAAATATCCATTCGATATAACCCACGTGCAGGGCATTGTAAGGCTACAGTGTAGTCTTGGTCCTCAGTTAAGAAAGGCAAATATAGAAACTATATATGATAATTTAAAAAATACAAGGCACCACAAGATGTGTCAAATAAGATATACTTTTTAACTGAAGGGATTAGGAAGGAGTTTATAGAGGCAATGAAATCATGGGTAGGCTTTGAAGATTGGACATAATTCAAATAATCAGAAATTTAAAAGGAAATTATATTTTAAGAGGAGGAAAACATGAAGGTATACAAATAGGTGTGATTGCTATCCATCCATCTGACATCAATTCCTTCACTAGATTTCTACTAAGAATCTACTCTATAAATACAGATCCTGCTCTTAAGAACTAGTAGAAAAATGCACACAAATGGTTACATTTCAATAAAACAAATGTGTTATAATAAAATTTTTCAGTTGTTCACCACTTAACTAACACTTAACCAATTTGCAGGATTAACCAGTATTTTCTGTTGTCTATATAACTCATACTATGATGGCAGTTCAGGGATAAAATGGAACTTTTAAAAAATGGATGTACTTCTACTGTATCCAGTTGTGTTGTATGCTTACCAAGAGTCAGTTAATTTTGTTCCCAAGCTTGTTTATGCCAGTTGTAGTTGTTATGAAATTATGCATATTATTTAAAGCTATAAAATAGAAGAGGAGTTGTTTCTTTGAACAATTTTGGAAAATTTAGTAAAATTCAATAGAAGATAATCATTAAGAACTTCTGGCAAGGCATGTGTAGATAAAGCAAATGCAGAAGTTTGGGGTGGTGGGGGGAATCAGACAAACTAGAAGGATTTTTACATTCGAGTTACTTTGCAAGAATCTTTAAGTGCATGCTCAACTTTAAGGAAAACAAAACTAATATGAAACATGGTTACGGCTGATACAAGAAAGACTACTTAGAGTTCCAATTTCATAGTCAAAGGCTTTGGACCTGCACAGAAGATTGACACATGAATGTAAATTTGTATTTTAAGTTATATTAAAGGATTTGTTAAGTAAATCATCTGTTTACAGTTCTCCATTTTAACTGACTTTTTGGATTAACCTGCAAACTAGGTAAAAGGGCACCTACTGTTTGAAAATTCAGGAAAAGCCACACAAAAGAAGAAACCCTTGAGTTGGGACTTAAAGGATCAGTAAGTCTGTTACAGGGTAAAAATAGAAAACAGCATTTCATCAAAGGGTGGTATGAGCTGTACTTAGGAGAATCACAAGTAGACTACATACTTCATTAGGGTCACTTGGCATATTTGGTAATGGGGAGTTAGGTTGAAGATAGATTGTGAGGGTTGTCAGAGGCCTTCAATGCCAGGCAGAGGAATGTGGACATCATCATTACATGTAATGCGAAGCTACTGAAAGTTTCTCATCATGGACACAGTGCAATGTGCACTATGAAAATAATGTTTTAAGAAAGATTAATTTGTACTGTGAAAAATGGAAGAACTAGAGGGCATGACCAAGGGCAGTGTTGCCTATTGGGAAACAATGGCAGAGATTAGAAGGAAAGTTCTAAGGGTTGAAAGTGGTCGCAGGCAATGGGATTAGGGAGAGAAATGAAGAGCCACTGGAAAATGATTAGATGTGGGGATAATGGAAAAGGGAGGGTTGAACATAATTCCAAGGCTTTGAGCATGTTCAGTGAAGGAAATGACAGTATTGTTATGGAAATCAGGAAAGAAGACCAGGAGAGAGCTGCTTATGAGCAAAAGATTAAAGCCTGGTTTTAAAATAAGAGATGACACAAACAAATGGAAAAACATTCCATGCTCATGGACAGGAAGAATCAATATTGTTAAAATGGCCATACTGCCCAAACCAATTTATAAAGTCAATGCTATTCCTATCAAACTAACAGTGACATTCTTCACGGAACTAGAAAAAACTATTTTACAACTCAAATGGAACCAAAAGAGAGCCCAAATAGCCAAGCCAATCCTATGCGAAAAGAATAATGCTGGAGGCATCAAACTATCCAACTTCAAACTACACTACAGGTCTACAGTAAGAAAACGGCATGGTACTGGCACAAAAACAGACACATAGACCAATGGAACAGAGAATAGAGAGCCTGGAAATAAGGTTGCACACCTACAACCATTTCATTTTCAACAAAGCTGACAAAAACAAGCAATGGGGACAGGAACCCCTATTCAATAAATGGTGCTGGGATAACTGACTAGCCATATGCAGAAGATTGAAACTGGGCCCCTTTCTTATACCATATATGAAAAATCAACTCAAGTTGGAGTTAAATGTAAGGACTTAAATGTAAAACCCAAAACTATCGAAACCCTCACACAACATAGGCAATACCATTCTGGACGTAGGAATGGGCAAATACTACATGATGAAGACATTGAAAGCAATTGCAACAAAAGCAAAAATTGACAAATGGGATCTAATTAAATTTAAGAGCTTCTGAATAGCAAAAGAAACAACAGAGTAAACAGACAATCTACAGAATGGGAGAAAAATTCTGCAAACTGTGCATCCAACAAAGGTCTAATATCCAGATCTATAAGGAAATTAAACACATTTACAAAAAAAAATCACCCCATTAAAAAGTGGGCAAAGGATATGAACAGACACTTTGCAAAAGAAGACATACATGTGGCCAATAAGCATAAGAAAAAAAGCTCATCATCACTGATCATTAGAGAAATGCAAATCAAAACCACAATGAGACACCATCTTATACCAGTCAGAATGGCTATTATTAAAAAGTCAAAAAATAACAGAGGCTGACAAGGTTGTGGAGAAAAAGGAATGCTTATACACTGTTGATGGAAGTGTAAATTGGTTCAACCATTGTGAAGAACAGTGTGATGATTCCTCAAAGACCTAAAAACAGAACTACCATTTGACCCAGCAATCCCATTTCTGGGTATATACCTAAAGGAATATAAATCGTTCTATCATAAAGACACGTGCATACATAGGTTCATTGCAAACTATTCACAACAGCAAAGACATAGAATCAACCTACATGCTTAGACTGGATAAAGAAAATGTGGTACATGTACACCATGGAATACTATGCAGCCTTTCCAGGAACATGGATGGAGTTGGAAGCCATTGTCCTTAGCAAACTAACACAGGAACAGAAACCCAAAATACTACATTTTCTCACTAATAAGTGGGAGCTAAATGATGAGAACACATGAACACATAAAGAGGAACAACAGATACTGGGGCCTACTGGAGGGAGGGGGTGGGAAGAAGGAGAGGAGCTGCAAAAATAACTAATGGGTACTAGGCTTAATACCTGGGTGACAAAATAATCTGTACAACATACACCCATGACACAAGTTTACCTAATAACAAACCTACACATGTAACCCTGAACTTAACAGTTTTAAAAGGCTGGTTTTAGACACACTATATAAGAGAATAAAGTATATTAACCATGCAGGAATGGCAGCTGTAGGTGGCAGAGCAGAGAGGAAGAGATAGCCTAACTGAAGATGTACATTTTGGAGAAACCATAAGTGAATACGTGATACTCTTTGCGTTTATTGACCAAGTCCTTGATTACAAACAATATTCGGTAGGGAATGAACTCAAGCTATGTGAGCAGATTTACTTACGTACTCTCCCACCCTTACTACTGAACACTTCATCCTGAATTGATAGAAAGAGATCCTTCCTCTTCCAACTAGAAAAGTGGACTTAACCTTAGATATGTTTGCTAGTCAAATAGTTTCTTCTTCCCCACTATGGCCAGCCCTCTGCCTGTAGATACTGCCAACCTTAGCCAAACCTCTCTTCTAAACTGCTTACACGGCTGTCTTTTAAATCAGAGCCCATCTCTTAAACAATGCGGAACATAAATATTTATCCTGACCCATTATGTACACATCATAGCACAGAAATGTAGCTCATCTGATCTTTTACATGCTACACACTGATGTTTCTTCCATTTCTAGGATCTTAACAATGACAGTAATTGATGGTGTGTGAAGAAAAAAGGGAAGATCAGGAGACTTTAACCTGTGGTATTCCCATGTTTAGAAGCAAAATGGGGAACAAAAAGGAAGCGAATAACAATCAGAAAAATAGGAGGATAACAATAGTGTAATATCATGGATGCCAAAGGAGAGTTTCAAAAAGAAGAAGGCAACCAATAGTGTCAAATGTTTCAGACAATTGTAAAAATTCAAAAATAAAAATATTTAAAACTTTCAAAATAAAATATCAAAATATCAAAATAAAATATCAAAAACTTTCTTGATGCCAGGCATTGGTCCAAGAGATCTTTTTTTGGCAAATCTTAATAAAATATCTTATTTAATCTAATACGTCCAAAATACTACCATGTCAACATGTACCTAATATAAAAATTATAGTGTTTTTTTTCCATACTCAGTCTTTAAAAACTGGTGCTTGTTTTAAACTTTCAGCATACTCAATTTGGACTAGCCACATTTCAAATGCTTAATAGTTACATGTGGGTGGTGGCTACTCTTTTGGACAGAGCAGCACAGAGAGCTGTGGGAGAATTAAAGGAGGTGGTTCATCTCTTTTAGGAGATGCAGAAGATAAAGTACTCAGCACAGGGCTGGTAGGTGGAAAACACAGAAGTGTTAGCCTCATCCTTCCCTTACCCTCTCCCGATAATGGTTCATAGTTCTCTGGACCGAATGTGAGCAATTCACTCTGCCTTGTAAAACCCTGAATTCCTCACCTCCTTCTTACTTCTCCATAAAGTACAATGAGGGCACTCTCACCACCACCCTGCAGTGACAGTACCAACCTCTATGGCCTGAGCTGCTGCAATAGCTCCCCTACATAGTGCCTTGTCATCTGCTTCTACTCCCACCAACCCATTCTCCACTGAGTGGATGGAATGCTTTTTTGGGGAGGTGATATTTTTATTGTGGCAAAATATACATAAGATAGAATGTACCATTTTAGCCATTTTCCAGCATACAATTCAGTGGCATTAGGTACATTCACGTTGTTGTGCAACCATCGCCACCATCCATTTCCAGAACTTTTTCATTATTCCAGACTGAAACTCTGTACCCATTAAACAGTAACTCCCTACCTCCTCCTCTCCCAGAGCCTTTGGTAACCTCTATTCTACTTTCTGTCTCTGAATTTTCCTATTCTAGGTACTTCACATACATGGAATCATACAATATTTTTCCATTTTTGTCTGGCTTATTATTTCTCTAGCATAATGTTTCCAAGGTTCTTCCATGTTGTAGGAAGTTTCGGAATTTCATTTCTTTTTATGGCTGAATAGCATTCCATTGTATGTATATTCCACTTTTGTTTATCCATTCATCTGTTGATGCATATTTGCATTGTTTCTAGTTTTTTTGGCTATTTGAATAGTGATGTCATGAACACTGGTGTACCAATATCCAAGAAATTTTTAATGCATTATCTCACTAAATCCTAACAACAACTCTGCAAAATAGATATTATTATTATCTTCATTTTACAGATAGGAAGAAACAGATTAACAGAGAGGTGAAGTCACATAGCTGGTGAGGAGTGAAATCGGGATCCAAATGCAGGAATATTATCATTTTATGTGTGTCATGATGTGAAAAAGGTTGGGAAGCGCTGCTCTACACCAGTGTGCTACAGCTGCCTTGTCAAGATGGTGGAGGTCTGAGAAAGATTAGTTGGATACTTGGGGCATCAGAAGTGACCAATGATAAAGCAAGATCAGCAGCAAGATGGAGATAGTGAAGTAGAGAATAAAGAAATGGTAGCAGTAAAAGGAAAGCAATAGCTAGAAAGTACAGTGGAGTTAAGTGACTGAATTGCTTCAAGGTGAAGACTGGAGAGTTTACAAAAGATTAAAGATTTATAACCAATTTAAAAAGCAGATTTCAAAACCATCAACAAAAGGAACACAACATAAAAATAAGATGCCTAGAAGGATTACGTAGGGTCAGGCAGTAGTAATTAATGGGCTTACTTTGGTATAATCCAAAGAGGAAAGATGCTATACTTTCCATGATAACACTAAGCTTTTTGTGAAACAGCAGTAGAAATTTACTATAAATATGGATAAAAGGATTGGGAAATCATGCTTAACCAGCGGCAGAGCTCCACTTGCTAGGAAGAAAGCATTATTCTAAATGACATTTTATGCTACCTTGCTTGTTTCACTGTCTTTGAATCCTTTTTCAAGTATTTGTAGAAGATGCTTTTTCTTCACTGAAACTTCAGGATCAAAAACATAAAAAAGGCATTCCAGCATCCTTCGGTAGCTCCTTAAGAATAATTGAAACAGAAAAAGTTTGAGGATTGATTTCACAAAAGCTTAGCCATAGATAAGATAACCATATGTCCTGCCAGGGATATTTGTCATTGACATGCAATGTTCTAGTGTCATTATTAATAGCTCCCCTGCCTTCAACCTCAAAAACAGGCTCAATGTGGATAAATTATGAGGTCATCCTGGCCATGGGAGATGCATAAAAAGGAAACATTTACTAACAAGGTATATGTATATTTTTAATGCTGTAAACTTTTAAAATAGAAATTTTACAAATACAGTCACACTTTTGTAAAGTTGTTCCATAAAGAATTCAGCTTCTTACTCTGAATCATGCATATCTTCATTCTCCAAAAACTTTTGAAATTTCTCTTCGAATTTTAGTCTCAGAATACGGTTGTTAACTTTAATGATGCGTTTTACTTTTACTCCTGTAATACCGTATGTTCTGAAGTCCCAGGCACAAAAACGTGACAGAATTAATTCATAGCAGAAATTAAACCTATGTGGGAATACATACAGAATATACATGAAGAAAATAATAGATTTTCCTTAAAATGTTTAAGAACAGAAAACTACGTGATAAAAGTTATAGCTCATATTTTGTGTCTTTTGCTAAAGATACAGTAATCATATAGTGGCTCCGTTTATTTATTCATTTATTGCACATTTGTTCTGCCTGGAAGACAGGTTGGTTGAGCAATCTTCACTTTCTGAAACACTTTCTTAGCTTCAGGGAAACTTCATACGCCTTCCTCTTATTGGCTGCTCTTTCATAGTTTTCTTGCTGGGTCTTCTCAGACAGACTTTTAGATGTTGAACTGCCCAGGGATCAGCCTTTGGCCTTCCTCTTGCTTCCACGAACACTCTCCCTAGATGATTTCACGTGGTTCCTTGGCTTTATATACATCCTGATAAATTACAACATTTTATTTCTAGTCTTGATCTCTACTCAACTTAGCTGGTTATACCCAGACTTGAATATCCAACTACCTACTTGGTATGTCCATCTGCATGTTAAACAGGTGACTCCAACCTAACATAACTAACACTGCACCCCAAACCTGCTCCTCTGAGTATTTTCCATCTCAGTATATGGCACCACCATTTAACTGATAGCTTAAGTCAAAACCGTAGGAATAATCCTCTCCTTTCTTCCTCACCAGTATCTTTTTTTTTTTTTTTTTTTTTTTTTTTTTTTTTTTTTTGAGGCGGAGTCTCGCTCTGTCGCCCAGGCTAGAGTGCAGGGGCGCCATCTCCACTCACTGCAATCTCCGCCTCCCGGGTTCACGCCATTCTCCTGCCTCAGCTTCCCGAGTAGCTGGGACTACAGGCGCCCGCCATCACGCCCGGCTAATTTTTTGTGTTTTTAATACAGACGGGGTTTCACCGTGTTAGCCAGGATGGTCTCAATCTCCTGACCTCGTGATCCGCCCACCTCGGCCTCCCAGTGCTGGGATTACAGGCGTGAGCCACCGCGCCCGGCCCCAGTATCTAATTCTTTAGCAAGTCCGCCTGGCTCTACATCTAAAATCCATCCTGAATGTGATCGTGTTTCATCATCACCACTGTTACCATCCTAATCCAAATCACCACGATCTCTCATTGGACTACTGAAATAACTTCCTGACAATGAATACGGATGTGAAAGAGGCATTGTCTGCTCTAATGAAGCCTAAACAAGTAAAGCCAGAAATAAAATTTCTAAACTGAAAAAGGCTCTGAAGAGAAGCTTGGGGTAAGGAATGCAAAGGGGACCTACTTAAGATAGGGCCTTGGGGACGACCTTTCAGAGACGTTAAGATATTTGATCTGAAAATTGGAGGAGGAGGAGCAGGGGCCAGCTGTGTGAAAATAACACTGAAGTGCTTGTTTGCTCTCTGCTGCCCTCACCTGGCCATACGCATAAAATTCCGGTCCTGTCTAGCACAGAACCTAGATTAAGATGAGATTGAAAAACGGATCATTTTGAGAAGGAAGTAAATGGTCTTATAAGGAATACATTTGCCTTTAATGAAAGATCTAGGTCCTCACCTACATAATCAACCAGGGTCTGAAATGGGTGTGAGCTAAGGTCACAGAGGTGAGCTTCCTGATGGGTAGTCTCTCCTTGAGCCTAATAGCTGAGCTCCTAACTTAGGGCATCTATATTTCTCACAAGCAAATACTTAATCAATGCAGCCAGGATCTTATAAATTACTTCTCCCTTAGAGTTGAAAGGAGAGCTGCCTAAACCAAACTAATCCCAGAGGAGCTCGCAGTCTGGTAGAGGAGACAGATATGAATAGTGTTGCAATCAAGCATGATGCCTGCTAACCAGTTTAGAGTACCTACAAAACAGCCACATTAGCATCTGAGGTGGGGAAGCTACTGCCCCTCCTATAGAGGGATCATTTGCTGGGCCTAAATCTGTCAAATTTCCCCTAAGTAACATGTCCTGGAAGCTTTCTGCACTCTGATAGAAACTAGGGCTGTAGGCGTTTTAGATAAAGTTTTTGCTATATAGGGGATATTGGGCTTGAGGCGTCTCATGAATGGGTGGAAGGAATGAATAAACAATACCTAGCTCCTAGGCTGGTTCCCCAGGAAGGCAGGAGCTATGAAGTGTGATTTTTTCATGGAGATTTTATGTTGCCCAGGAATTCAGCAGCTGAGCAATGATGAAGTAAGTGTGAGGTATGCAAAAGCATTCTGGGTGAAGGAAACAGAACAAACAAAACCACTTATGTGGTGGAGTACTGCGTTTGCTTCAAGAGCAGTGCGGTACACAGTTCAGCTGACTTTAAAAGAGTTGAACAGAAGTTATGATAGTCTAAAACTATACAGTGGAGAACACTGATCCTTTACTGTAGGTGAAGAGTCTGCCAATAAAACAAAACAAAAGCCTTTGCAGCCATTTGTTACCTTCCAAATTACATTCAGACTCTTCACCTACAGTAGAGGATTCAATATTCTCCACTGTATGGTCTCTAAACTAATCATAACTCCTGTTCAAATCCTTTAGAGTCAGCTGAACTGTGTACCTTACCCTCATTCATTCAGTGGTACTTGAAGGTATAAACATTCACAATGATATATATCAATGACTAATATATTCAGTTACACAGAAAGATGCCTACACATTTTGTTAATATACAATAATGTGCTCATTTAGCAAATGTAGGCTACACACGTTTTTAAATGTTTGAAGCTTAATGTAATCTATTAAAATATACTTTATAATCCTATATAAAGGTTTAATAAATACTTTTACAGGCTTACTGACTTAAATCAACAGTTTCAAAGCCCTGTAAAACAGAAAGTTTCTGCTTATGTAGCTCCTTGAGATAGTATAGCATGAAATCTTTATAAAGAGGCAGATTAATTACTGAAAGTCATTATATACACCAAAGCAAAACTGTTGTGTATCTATAAAGTGATATGGAAGCTTCAACTAGTAAATATGTACTGGGCTATTAATCCAGTCCCATGCTAGATGTTATGTCTTATAAGACACAAAACATCATATCTTCCCCAAAGGAACTTACAGAGTCACTTATATATTGTTTTGTCGTATTTTAAAGGTGTTTTTTTTTTTTTAGTTGTAAATACACTGTATCTATGACCAGGCTGACAGCTTCTCAGGCACAAGGACAGCATCTTTTATGCTTTGAAGTCCCTACTTGATAAATGTTGTATGATGTCAATGGGTAACTCAATTGGCAACACATCGGTAAATAATACAAATCTATAATAATAAAGGTATAGTAGCAACAATCCACTCAACTAGCATGTCTCTATAAAATAAGATTTTTGTAAACTGGAAAATATAATAATTTTATTTCATAAAAGAAATGAAGCTAAGAGATAATGACATACAATTAGAAACATGCAGTGTTTTGTTGTTGTTAAAGACATAAAGATAATTTTAACAGAAAATCTTTCAGTCCTAGTTCTACTGAAATACTTTTTATTTAAATACTGAATCCTTAGCCTTAAAAATATTAATAGGAGAAGTCAGTGTTTAAATAAAACAACTAGAAATGTAGCATAGCAATTTAAAGCACTTAGTAGTTATTTCTTAACATACATAAAAGATCAGAGGAAAAGTAGCCAAGCTTGCAGTATGCTAAAACTAAAAAACAGTACTTTAAATTCTGCTAACATATATTTGATATATTCCTTAAAACAAATCAAAGTTACTCTTATTAAAACCAAGTAAACAGGTTAATGCTAATCAAAATCCATCAAAGCTATCTAATTTACTATCAGGCTGACATAGTTATCTAAATGGCTTTTTGGTCATTTTGCTTTTACATTTTTTTTTTTTTCACTAATCCACTTGTTGCAAAGAGTTTCCTCTGCAATAATTTAAAAAGAAACAAATAATTTTTAAAAATCCTGTTTGGAGCTGGGCACAGTGGCTCATGCCTGTGATCTCAGCACTTTGGGAGGCCGAGGTGGGAAGATCACTTGAGGCCAGGAGTTTGAGACCAGCCTGGCCAACATGGCAAAACCCCGTCTCCACTAAAAATACAAAAATTAGTGGGTGTGGTGGCATGCACCTATAATCTTAGCTACTCGGGAGTCTGAGGCAGGAGAATCGCTTGAACCTGGGAGGCAGAGGTTGCAGCGAGCTGAGATCGGGCCACTGCACTCCAGTCTCGGGGACACAGCGAGACTCTATCTCAAAAAAAAAAAATCCTGTTTAGGTTGAGTGAATATAAATGTGCACCCAGTAGAGACACACCATTCAGTTTTTGCACTTGAAAAATCAAGGCCTTTACTTGTTTACATGGGAGCTGGATGAACACCTTTTATATCTTTGTATATAAAAATCAAAAAATGTGGTTAAGCAAACAGTAGTAACTGCTGGGCAAATGGATGTACTAATACAAAGGAAAGTATTTTCAAAGGCCTCTTTTTCCCTTGCGAAGAGCTTCTTACACTTTTCCATCAGAGTTCTCCCAAGACCTTTGAGAAGCTTTTACTCACAGAGGTGAGAAAAAAGCCATGTCTAATAGAAATCAGGGGACTTGGTTTAAAGTAACCCATAACAATAACAGTTTTTTTTTCTAAAAAGTTAGTGTAAGTTTTACATTCTACACTATAAAAATTAGTATTTATTTTGACATTGACTTCAAGTAAAATCATGCTCCAGGGTTATGTGCCAAGTCCATTCTATAGTTTGACATGTCTCCTGGTGTATTTCCATGTACCCAGTTCCTATTGTGTGGCTCTAGAGCAATCTTTCTCTGTTTCACAGGCTCTTCAGTTCTGAAAAAATGACTCAGAAATGTGAAAGTGATACTTAACAATATTTTTCTTCAAGACTTTTTTTAAGGGTAATTTGAAATTGTGCCCCTCTAATTGAAGCAACACAACCACTTCCTAGTATCTACTAGTAGGCCTTGGTTCTAAAGCCTGGCTGTCTGCTTTCTGCTTGATTCTGGTGTCTCTCCATTTTTGTTGATACAAGCTTTTGACCTGAATTCCTGGTATAAGCATATACTTTATGCTAACATGTAGTGTTCGTGTGCACCCTGACTGTAGCTATCTCTAAACAGTGGGTTCCACTCTGACCACAGACCTACAGAAGATTTGCTAGACAGTCTCCTCCCATGTTGGCAACCTGCTGTTGCCAATCCTGCTTTGGCATTCCTGCTCTCTTCCAGTTTCTCAACCAATATTCAGAATCATGCACTATATCCAGTCAGGAAACAAACAGTATAAACATATTTTAAAAATTAAAACTTGATTATAAATTTTTTTTTCTAAATTATATTCTGCTCTTGGGCTAAGAAAAATTGGGTAAAGAGCAATGATAAACCATTAGGATGTCTTCAAGGTTGGCTCACGGTAATGGCATAAACAGAAATGTATAGGCGGAAAGTAGGTAATTTTCAGTTTTCAATAGATGCCTGCCAATTTTCAATAGATGAATATTCTGCATGAGAAATGTTTCAAAAATGGGACATTTTAAGATTTTATAAGTTGATATTCTGGTTGATGATCCTAAGTACTTAAGTTATTTTTAAAGCTATACTAAATTTCTAACAGATTTACCAGTCATCAGATCGAGTGCCTTCTTCAAAATGGAAATTTCCCACAGTCTCTAACTCAATTAACAAAAGTGGGATCAATAAGCCATGACTTTTCTTCTTTTGTTTTACTTCAATATGATAAATTGCTTCAATTCTATTGGAGAGAAAAATACATACAGCTATTAGAATGATCTAAAAATCGCAACATTAAAACTTATGATAGATTTTTTTTAACTGATGTTAAAACACAAGGCTTCCTTTCAATGGATAAAGAAAGCTTGGTGTTAACAGTTAAACCATGTCAAAGACATTCTATTTTTGGCAATTAAAATCACCTTTAATTTTGCTGCTCTCAGAATATGTGAAGGCTAGAAGACTATCCTTGCTCTACCACTTACAGCTTTCAGATCTCAGACATGTCACTTGGACTTTTTATGCCTCAGTTTTCTCAGTAAAATGGCAATATTCGTAGTCCTTATTCCTAAAATGGTTGTTTTGAGAGTTACATACAAAATACATGTACAGATCTTAGCACAGAGTCTGGCACAAAGTAAAAACCCAATATATGTTACTATTATTGTTAGCATTATCACAGGGCACACTAATTTATCCACTTAGTGCCTTAGTAAATAAAAAAATTCACAGTCCTTGCTAAGCCTTCTTGCTTTACATTTCTAATTGATAACTGAGCCTGAACTTGTTTCTACTGTGTTTGGGCTTTGCCAGGTCTCATCTATTTGGTGAGTTTATCCACCAGCAGAGGCTCTATTGTTTTTAGTTTGCAGACACTAGAGCAGTGATAGGACAGGAATCCACTGGGGGGAAGCTTACTGTTCCTAATTAAGAACTGCCTCTGCAAAAAACTGTAAGCCAGCTTTTATCCCATGATGCTTATATGTACTAGGAACTAGTACTAAGAATATATTTCATGCTTTACTTCATACTGTAATTGTTCATACTCCTGAAGAAGGGAACTAGGGTCAACTGATGGCCCAAAACATTCTGATTCTCTCCATTTCAGATCAGAACAACTAGATAATTAATTAAACATACTCATCTAGTTTTTTGTTCCAGAATGTTACCCTTTCATTCAAGGCATTTAGTTTGGCCAATATCTTCTGTTGAAGACTTGGTTCTTCAGTGACAGTTTCACAACTCTTCAGTGTTTCAGGATCAGTTACTTTACTGTTATTGGATCCATCACTGTGCCCTTTGCCCGAGCCCTTGAGTTCAGCCAGTTCTCGTTCCAACTGTGGAAAACAATGTGTCAGAGAGCAAAATAAAAATAAAACATGGTCTAGGCAAAGTCGGAATTCAGATGTTAAGTTTTAATGGGATCTATTAAACAAATGTCTAATTTAAATGAACAAAGTGGAAATCTAGGTAATAAACAGGCCAGATGTCATAAAAACATGCCAAACATGTGATTTCAAGTTGGGTGCAAATTCAGTCAGCCAGTTTCTCTTGACCAAGTGCCGACCTTAACCACTTCAAATAGGGCAGTCTCCCAATTGAAAATAAGCAAAGCAACAGATTTTCAAATCTTTTTAATAAGTTCGCCTCTATTAAAGCCAAAGTAAAATTAAAATAAATACTGATTTTAGTACAAATATTTAAAATTCAAATAATGTAATTTTTAACACACATACTTTTCAATTTTTCAGTATTTTTCACCACTTTGGTGTTCTGGAAAAAAATAACTATTAAAATTACACGAAAGCATATATATAGGGGTGCACATTTTTCCTTTTGTTTTAGTCTCTTACATGACTCAGCACAGCACTGGTCTTAAGATTTTGTTATTTTGGGGTTTTTAAATTTATCATAATGAACTTTTTGCATTAATTTGGATATTTTAAAAATGTTGCATGGAATATTATTTATCTTGATTACTTAAGGTTTTTGGGTACTCCCTTAAATTCTGGGCCCACAGCAAGAACCTCTTTTGTCTAACTCTAATCTCAGCCTTATGTAATTTAAAGATAAATTGTACTGAGGAGGGGCCAAGATGGCTGAATAGAAACATCTCTGGTCTTAAGCTTCCAGTGAGACCAATGCAGAAGGTGGGTGATTACTGCATTTCCAACTGAGGTACCCTGTTCATCTCAGTGAGACTGGTTAGACAGTGGGTCCAACCCACAGAGGGTGAGCAGAAGCAGGGTGGGGTGTCACATCACCCAGGAAGTGCAAGGAGCAGGGACCTCCCTCCCCCAGCCAAGGTAAGCTGTGAGGGACTGTGCTACCCAGCCGGGTTACTATGCTTTTCCCACCGTTTTTGCAATCTGCAGATCAGGAGATTCCCTCGTGTGCCTATACCACCAGGGCTCTGTGTTTCAAGCACAAAACTGGGTGGCTGTTTGGGCAGACACTGAGCTAGCTGCAGGAGTATTTTTTCGTACCGCAGGGTAACCTGGAACCCCAGCGAGAGAGAACCTTTCACTCCCCTGCAAAGCGGACTGAAGCCAGGGAGCCAAGTGGTCTTGCTCAGCGGGTCCCACTCCCACAGAGCCCAGCAAGCTAAGAACCACTAGCTTGAAATTCTCGCTGCCAGCACAGCAGTCTGAAGTCGACCTGGGTCGATTGAGCTTGGTTGGGGCAGGGGTGTCCACCATTACTGAGGCTTTAGTAGGTGGTTTTTCCCTGACAGTGCTAAGGAGTTTGGGAGGTCTGGGCCCGGTGGCAAAGCAGCTGTGGTCAGACTGCTTCTCTAGATTCCTCCTCACTGGGCAGGGCATCTCTCAAGGAAAGGTAACAGCCCCAGTAAGGGGTTTACACACAAAAACCCCACTTCCCTGGGACAGAGCACCTGGTGGAAGGGGTGGCTGTGGGCACAGCTGCAGCAGATTTAATCGTTCCTGCCTGCCAGCTCTGAAGAGAGCAGCTAATCCTGACAAGAGGGATTCGCCCAGCACAGTGCACCAGCTCTGCTAAGGGACAGACTGCCTG
This sequence comes from Homo sapiens, assembly GCF_000001405.40. Taxonomy (NCBI): domain Eukaryota; kingdom Metazoa; phylum Chordata; class Mammalia; order Primates; family Hominidae; genus Homo; species Homo sapiens. The sequence continues at coordinate 59,958,121 of NC_000014.9, read as the reverse complement.
CTCAAGTGGGTTCCTGACCCCCGTGCCTCCTGACTGGGAGACATACCCCAACAGGGGTCGACAGACACCTCATACAGGAGAGCTCTGGTTGGCATCAGGCCAGTGCTCCTTCAGGATGAAGCTTCCAGAGGAAGGAGCAGGCAGCAATCTTTGCTATTCTGCAGCCTCCACTGCTGATACCCAAGTGAACAGGGTCTGGAGTTGACCTCCAGCAAACTGCAGCAGACCTGCAGAAGAGGGGCCTGTTAGAAGAAAAACTAACAAACAGAAAGCAACAAGATCAAGATGAACATAAAGGACCCCCACACAAAACCCCATCCAAAGGTCATCAGCCTCAAAGATCAAAGGTAAATAAATCCATGAAGATGAGGAAAAACCAGCACAAAAACGCTGAAAATTCCAAAAACCAGAATGCCTCTTCTCCTCCAAATGATCGCAACTCCTCTCCAGCAACAGCACAAAACTGAACAGAGAATGAGACTGATGAATTAATAGAAGTAGGCTTCAGAAGGTGGGTAATAACAAACTCCTCAGAGCTAAAGGAGCAAGTTCTAACCCAATGCAAGGAAGCTAAGAACATTGATAAAAGGTTACAGGAACTGCTAACTAGAATAACCAGTTTAGAGAAGAACATAAATGACCTGATGGAGCTGAAAAACACAGCATAAGAACTTCATGAAGCATACACAAGTATCCATAGCTGAAATCTATCAAGCAGAATAAAGGATATCAGAGATTGAAGATCAACTTACTGAAATAAGGCATGAAGACAAGATTAGAGCAAAAAGAATGAAAAGGAATGAACAAAGCCTCCAAGAAATATGGGACTATGTGAAAATACCAAATCTCTGGTTGATTGGGGTCCCTGAAAGTGATGGGGAGAATGCAACCAAGTTGGAAAACACACTTCAGGATATTATCCAGGAGAACTTCCTCACCCTAGCAAGACAGGCCAATATTCACATTCAGGAAATACAGAGAACACCATTAAGATACTCCTCGAGAAGAGCAGCCCCAAGACACATCGTGAGATTCTCCAAGGTTGAAACAAAGGAAAAAATGTTAAGGGCAGCCAGAGAGAAAGGTCAGGTTACCTACAAAGGGAAGCCCATCAGACTAACAGCTGATCTCTCTGCAGAAACCCTACAAGCCAGAAGAGAGTGAGGGCCAATATTCAACATTCTTAAAGAAAAGAATTTTCAACTCAGAATTTTGTATCCAGCCAAACTAAGCTTCATAAGCGAAGGAGAAATAAAATCCTTTACAGACAAGCAAACGTTGAGGGATTTTGTCACCACCAGGCCTGCCTTACAAGAGGAAGCACTAAATAGAGAAAGGAAAAACCAGTACCATCCACAGCAAAAACATAACAAAATATAAAGACCAATGACACCATGAAGAAACTGCATAAATTAATGTGCAAAATAACCAGCTAGCATCATGATGACAGGATCAAATTCACACATAACAATATTAACCTTAAATGTAAATGGGCTAAATGCCCCAATTAAAAGGCACAGACTGGCAAATTGGATAAAGAGTAAAGACCCATTGCTGTTCTGTATTCAGGAGACCCCTCTCACGTGCAAAGACACACATAGGCTCAAAATAAAGGGATGGAGGAATATTTACCAAGCAAATGGAAAGTAAAAAAGAAGCAGGATTTGCAATCCTAGTCTCTGATAAAAGAGGCTTTACACCAGCAAAGATCAAAAAAGACAAAGAAGGGTATTACATAATGGTAAAGGGATCAATGCAACAAGAAGAGCAAACTGTCCTAAATATATATGCACCCAATACAGGAGCACCCAGATTCATAAAATAAGATCTTAGAGATCTACAAAGAGACTTAGACACTCACACAATAATAGTGGGAGACCTTAACACCCCACTGTCACATTAGACAGATCAACAAGACAGGAAGTTAACAAGGATATTCAGGACTTGAACTTAGCTCTGTACCAAGCAGACATAATAGGCATTTACAGAACTCTCCACCCCAAATCAAGAATATATATTCTTCTCAGCAACACACAGCACATATTCTAAAATCGACCACATAATTGGAAGTAAAATACTCCTGAGCAAATGCAAATGAATGGAAATCATAACAAACAGTTCCTCAGACCACAGTGCAATTAAAATAGAACTCAGGATTAAGTAACTCACTTAAAACCCACACAAAAATATGGAAATTGACAACCTGCTCCTGAATAATACTGGGAAAATAACAAAATTAAGACAGAAATAAAGAAGTTCTTTGAAACCAATGAGAACAAAGAGACAACGTACCAGAATCTCTGGGACACAGCTACAGCAGTGTTAAGAGGGAAATTTATAGCACTAAATGCTCACAACAGAAAGCTAGAAAGATCTAAAATCGACACCCTAACATCACAATTAAGAGAACTATAGAAACAAGAGCAAACAAATTCAAAAGCTAGCAGAAGGCAAATAACTAAGATCAGAGCAGAACTGAAGGAGGTAGAGACATGAAAAACCCTTCAAAAAAATCAATGAATCCCAGAGCTGGTTTTTTGAAAAGATCAACAACATAGACAGACCACTAGCTAGACTAATAAAGAAGAAAAGAGAGAAGAATCAAATAGAACAATAAAAATGATAAAGGGGATATCACCATTGATCCCACAGAAATACAAACTACCATCAGAGAATACTACAAACACCTTTACACAACTAAACTAGAAAATCTAGAAGAAATGGAAAAATTCCTGGACACATACACCCTCCCAAGACTAAACCAGAAAGAAGTTGAATCCATGAAAAGACCAATAACAAGTTCTGAAATTGAGGCAGTCATTAATATCCTACCAATCAAAAGAAGTCCAGGACCTGATGGATTGACAGCCACATTCTATCAGAGGTACAAAGAGGAACTGGTACCATTCCTTCTGAAACTATTCCAAACAATAGAAAAAGAGGGACTCCTCCCTAACTCATTTTATGAGGCCAGCATCATCCTGATACCAAAACCTGGCAGAGACACAACAAAAAAAGAAAATATCAGGCCAATAACCCTGATGAACATTGATGCAAAAATCCTCAATAAAATACTGGCAAACCAAATCCAGCAGCACATCAAAAAGTTTATCCACCACGATCAAGTCAGCTCATCCCTGGGATGCAAGGCCGGTTCAACATAAGCAAATCAATACACATAATCCATCACATAAACATAACCAATGACAAAAACCATGATTATCTCAATAGATGCAGAAAAGGCCTTTGATAAAATTCAACAGCCCTTCATGTTAAAAACTCTCAATAAACTAGGTATTGCTGGAACATATCTCAAAATAATAAGAGCTATTTATGACAAACCCACAGCCAATATCATACTGAATGGGCAAAAGCTGGAAGTGTTGTAGAAGATAAGGATGCCCCCTCTCACCACTCCTATTCAACATAGTATTGGAAGTTCTATTCAGGGAAATCAGGCAAGAGAAAAAAATAAAGTGTATTCAAATAGGAAGACAGGAAGTCAAATTGTCTCTGTTTGCAGATGACATGATTGTATATTTAGAAAATCCCATATTCTCAGCCCAAAACTCCTTAAGCTGATAAGCAACTTCAGCAAAGTCTCAGGATATAAAATCAATGTACAAAAATCACAAGCATTCCTATACACCAATAATAGATAAGCAGAGAGCCAAATCATGAGTGAACTCCCATTCACAATTGCTAGAAAGAGAATAAAATACCTAGGAATACAACTTATAAGAGACATGAAGGACCTCTTCAAGAACTACAAACCACTGCTCAAGGAAATAAGAGAGGACACAAAAAAAATGGAAAAACATTCCATGCTCATGGATAGGAAGAATCAATATCGTGAAAATGGTCATACTCCCCAAAGAAATTTATAGATTCAGTGCTATTCCCATCAAGCTACCATTGGCTTTCTTCACAGAATTAGAAACAAACTACTTTAAATTTCATATGGAACCAAAAAGGAGCCTGTATAGCCAAAACAATTCTAAGGAAGAAGAATAAAGCTGAAGGCATCATGCTACCTGACTTCAAACTATACTGCAAGGCTACAGTAACCAGAACAGCATGGTACTGGTACCAAAATGGATATATAGACCAATGGAACAGAAGAGAGACCTCAGAAATAGCACCACATATCTTCAATCATCTGATCTTTGACTAACCTGACAAAAACAAGCAATGGGGAAGGGATTCCCTATTTAATAAATGGTGCTGAGAAAACTGGCTAGCCATATGCAGAAAACAGAAACTGGACCCCTTCCTTAAGCCTTATACAAAATGTAACTCAAGATGAATCAAAGACTTAAATGTAAAACCCAAAACCATAAAAACCCTAGAAGAAAACCTAGGCAATACCATGCAGGACATAAGCATGGGCAAAGACTTCATGACTAAAACACCAAAAGCAACAGCAACAAAAGTCAAAATTGACAAATGGGATCTAATAAAACTAAAGAGCTTCTGCACAGCAAAAGGAACTATCATCAGATTGAACAGGCCACCTACAGAATGGGAGAAAATTTTTGCAAGATACCCATCTGACAGAGGTCTAATACCTAGAATCTTAAAGGAATTTAAACAAATTTACAAGAAAAAATTTACAAATTTGCAAACAAATTTACAAGAAGGATACGAACAGACACTTCTCAAAAGAAGACATTTATGCCACCAACAAACATATGAAAAAAAGCTCATCATCACTGGTCATTAGAGAAATGCAAATCAAAACCACAATGAGATACCATCTCATACCTGTTAGAGTGGTGATTATTAAAAAGTCAGGAAACAACAGATGCTGGAGAGGATGTGGAGAAATAAGAACAGTTTTACACTGTTGGTGGGAGTGTAAATTAGTTCAACCATTGTGGAAGACAGTGTGACGTTTCCTCAAACATCTAGAACCAGAAATAACATTTGACCCAGCAATCCCATTACTGGGTATACACCCAAAGGATTAGAAATCATTCTACTATAAAGACACATGCACATGTATGTTTATTGCAGCACTATTTACAATAGCAAAGGCTTGGAACCAACACAAATGCCCATCAGTGATAGACTGGATAAAGAAAATGTGGCACATATACACCATGGAGTATTATGCAGCCATTAAAGAGAATGAGCTCATGTCCTTTGCAGGGACATGGATGAAGCTGGAAGCCATCACTCTCAGCAAACTAACACAGGAACAGAAAACCAAACACCACATTTTCTCACTCACAAGTGGGAGCTGAACAATGAAAACACTTGGACACAGGGAGGGGAACATCACACACCAGGTCCTGTTGCGAGGTGGGGGGCAAGGGGAGGGAGAGCATTAGGACAAATACCTAATGCATGCGGGGCTTAAAACCTAGATGACAGGTTGATAGGTGCAGCAAACTATCATGTCAAATGTATACCTATGTAACAAACCTGCATGTTTGCACATGTATCCCAGAATTTAAAGGAAAATAAAAGCAACAACAACAACAATAACAACAACAGATAAATTGTACTCTATAAGGGAAAATATATATAAGTGGAAATTTAATAGTTATCTGTACTCCTCTATAATAGATATATCCAGCTGTTAGAAAATAGATTGGAGGAGCCAAGATGGCCGAATAGGAACAGCTCTGGTCTACAGCTCCCAGCGTGAGCGACGCAGAAGACGGGTGATTTCTGCATTTCCATCTGAGGTACCCGGTTCATCTCACTAGGGAGTGCCAGACAGTGGGCGCAGGCCAGTGGGTGCGCGCACCGTGCGCGAGCCGAAGCAAGGCGAGGCATTGCCTCACCTGGGAAGCGCAAGGGGTCAGGGAGTTCCCTTTCCGAGTCAAAGAAAGGCGTGACGGACGCACCTGGAAAATCGGGTCACTCCCACCCGAATATTGCGCTTTTCAGACCGGCTTAAAAAACGGCGCACCACGAGACTATATCCCACACCTGGCTCGGAGGGTCCTACGCCCACGGAATCTCGCTGATTGCTAGCACAGCAGTCTGAGATCAAACTGCAAGGCGGCAGCGAGGCTGGGGGAGGGGCGCCTGCCATTGCCCAGGCTTGCTTAGGTAAACAAAGCAGCCGGGAAGCTCGAACTGGGTGGAGCCCACCACAGCTCAAGGAGGCCTGCCTGCCTCTGTAGGCTCCACCTCTGGGGGCAGGGCACAGACAAACAAAAAGACAGCAGTAATCTCTGCAGACTTAAATGTCCCTGTCTGACAGCTTTGAAGAGAGCAGTGGTTCTCCCAGAACGCAGCTGGAGATCTGAGAACGGGCAGACTGCCTCCTCAAGTGGGTCCCTGACCCCTGACCCCCGAGCAGCCTAACTGGGAGGCCTACCCCCCAGCAGGGGCACACTGACACCTCACACAGCAGGGTATTCCAACAGACCTGCAGCTGAGGGTCCTGTCTGTTAGAAGGAAAACTAACAAACAGAAAGGACATCCACACCGAAAACCCATCTGTACATCACCATCATCAAAGACCAAAAGTAGATAAAACCACAAAGATGGGGAAAAAACAGAACAGAAAAACTGGAAACTCTAAAACGCAGAGCGCCTCTCATCCTCCAAAGGAACGCAGTTCCTCACCAGCAACGGAACAAAGCTGGATGGAGAATGATTTTGACGAGCTGAGAGAAGAAGGCTTCAGACGATCAAATTACTCTGAGCTACGGGAGGACATTCAAACCAAAGTCAAAGAAGTTGAAAACTTTGAAAAAAATTTAGAAGAATGTATAACTAGAATAACCAATACAGAGAAGTGCTTAAAGGAGCTGATGGAGCTGAAAACCAAGGCTCGAGAACTACGTGAAGAATGCAGAAGCCTCAGGAGCCGATGCGATCAACTGGAAGAAAGGGTATCAGCAATGGAAGATGAAATGAATGAAATGAAGTGAGAAGGGAAGTTTAGAGAAAAAAGAATAAAAAGAAATGAGCAAAGCCTCCAAGAAATATGGGACTATGTGAAAAGACCAAATCTACGTCTGATTGGTGTACCTGAAAGTGATGCGGAGAATGGAACCAAGTTGGAAAACACTCTGCAGGATATTATCCAGGAGAACTTCCCCAATCCAGCAAGGCAGGCCAACGTTCAGATTCAGGAAATACAGAGAACGCCACAAAGATACTCCTCGAGAAGAGCAACTCCAAGACACATAATTGTCAGATTCACCAAAGTTGAAATGAAGGAAAAAATGTTAAGGGCAGCCAGAGAGAAAGGTCGGGTTACCCTCAAAGGGAAGCCCATCAGACTAACAGCAGATCTCTCGGCAGAAACCCTACAAGCCAGAAGAGAGTGGGGGCCAATATTCAACATTCTTAAAGAAAAGAATTTTCAACCCAGAATTTCATATCCAGCCAAACTAAGCTTCATAAGTGAAGGAGAAATAAAATACTTTACAGACAAGCAAATGCTGACCGATTTTGTCACCACCAGGCCTGCCCTAAAAGAGCTCCTGAAGGAAGCGCTAAACATGGAAAGGAACAACTGGTACCAGCCGCTGCAAAATCATGCCAAAATGTAAAGACCATCGAGACTAGGAAGAAACTGCATCAACTAACGAGCAAAATCACCAGCTAACATCATAATGACAGGATCAAATTCACACATAACAATATTAACTTTAAATGTAAATGGACTAAATTCTCCAATTAAAAGACACAGACTGGCAAGTTGGATAAAGAGTCAAGACCCATCAGTGTGCTGTATTCAGGAAACCCATCTCACGTGCAGAGACACACATAGGCTCAAAATAAAAGGATGGAGGAAGATCTACCAAGCAAATGGAAAACAAAAAAAGGCAGGGGTTGCAATCCTAGTCTCTGATAAAACAGACTTTAAACCAACAAAGATCAAAAGAGACAAAGAAGGCCATTACATAATGGTAAAGGGATCAATTCAACAAGAGGAGCTAACTATCCTAAATATATATGCACCCAATACAGGAACACCCAGATTCATAAAGCAAGTCCTGAGTGACCTACAAAGAGACTTAGACTCCCACACATTAATAATGGGAGACTTTAACACCCCACTGTCAACATTAGACAGATCAACGAGACAGAAAGTCAACAAGGATACCCAGGAATTGAACTCAGCTCTGCACCAAGCGGACCTAATAGACATCTACAGAACTCTCCACCCCAAATCAACAGAATATACATTTTTTTCAGCACCACACCACACCTATTCCAAAATTGACCACATAGTTGGAAGTAAAGCTCTCCTCAGCAAATGTAAAAGAACAGAAATTATAACAAACTATCTCTCAGACCACAGTGCAATCAAACTAGAACTCAGGATTAAGAATCTCACTCAAAGCCGCTCAACTATATGGAAACTGAACAACCTGCTCCTGAATGACTACTGGGTACATAACGAAATGAAGGCAGAAATAAAGAGTTCTTTGAAACCAACGAGAACAAAGACACAACATACCAGAATCTCTGGGACGCATTCAAAGCAGTGTGTAGAGGGAAATTTATAGCACTAAATGCCCACAAGAGAAAGCAGGAAAGATCCAAAATTGACACCCTAACATCACAATTAAAAGCAAGAGCAAACACATTCAAAAGCTAGCAGAAGGCAAGAAATAACTAAAATCAGAGCAGAACTGAAGGAAATAGAGACACAAAAAACCCTTCAAAAAATCAATGAATCCAGGAGCTGGTTTTTTGAAAGGATCAACAAAATTGATAGACCGCTAGCAAGACTAATAAAGAAAAAAAGAGAGAAGAATCAAATAGACACAATAAAAAATGATAAAGGGGATATCATCACCGATCCCACAGAAATACAAACTACCATCAGAGAATACTACAAACACCTCTACGCAATTAACTAGAAAATCTAGAATAAATGGATAAATTCCTCGACACATACACTCTCTCAAGACTAAACCAGGAAGAAGTTGAATCTCTGAATAGACCAATAACAGGAGCTGAAATTGTGGCAATAATCAATAGTTTACCAACCAAAAAGAGTCCAGGACCAGATGGATTCACAGCCGAATTCTACCAGAGGTACAAGGAGGAACTGGTACCATTCCTTCTGAAACTATTCCAATCAATAGAAAAAGAGGGAATCCTCCCTAACTCATTTTATGAGGCCAGCATCATTCTGATACCAAAGCCGGGCAGAGACACAACCAAAAAAGAGAAGTTTAGACCAATATCCTTGATGAACATTGATGCAAAAATCCTCAATAAAATACTGGCAAACCGAATCCAGCAGCACATCAAAAAGCTTATCCACCATGATCAAGTGGGCTTCATCCCTGGGATGCAAGGCTGGTTCAATATACGCAAATCAATAAATGTAATCCAGCATATAAACAGAGCCAAAGACAAAAACCACATGATTATCTCAATAGATGCAGAAAAAGCCTTTGACAAAATTCAACAACCCTTCATGCTAAAAACTCTCAATAAATTAGGTATTGATGGGACGTATTTCAAAATAATAAGAGCTATCTATGACAAACCCACAGCCAATATCATACTGAATGGGCAAAAACTGGAAGCATTCCCTTTGAAAACTGGCACAAGACAGGGATGCCCTCTCTCACCACTCCTATTCAACATAGTGTTGGAAGTTCTGGCCAGGGCAATCAGGCAGGAGAAAGAAATAAAGGGTATTCAATTAGGAAAAGAGGAAGTCAAATTGTCCCTGTTTGCAGATGACATGATTGTTTATCTAGAAAACCCCATCGTCTCAGCCCAAAATCTCCTTAAGCTGATAAGCAACTTCAGCAAAGTCTCAGGATACAAAATTAATGTACAAAAATCACAAGCATTCCTATACACCAACAACAGACAAACAGAGAGCCAAATCATGAGTGAACTCCCATTCACAATTGCTTCAAAGAGAATAAAATACCTAGGAATCCAACTTACAAGGGATGTGAAGGACCTCTTCAAGGAGAACTACAAACCACTGCTCAAGGAAATAAAAGAGGATACAAACAAATGGAAGAACATTCCATGCTCATGGGTAGGAAGAATCAATATCGTGAAAATGGCCATACTGCCCAAGGTAATTTACAGATTCAATACCATCCCCATCAAGCTACCAATGACTTTCTTCACAGAATTGGAAAAAACTACTTTAAAGTTCATATGGAACCAAAAAAGAGCCTGCATCGCCAAGTCAATCTGAAGCCAAAAGAACAAAGCTGGAGGCATCACACTACCTGACTTCAAACTATACTACAAGGCTACAGTAACCAAAACAGCATGGTACTGGTACCAAAACAGAGACATAGATCAATGGAACAGAACAGAGCCCTCAGAAATAACGCCGCTTACCTACAACTATCTGATCTTTGACAAACCTGAGAAAAACAAGCAATGGGGAAAGGATTCCCTATTTAATAAATGGTGCTGGGAAAACTGGCTAGCCATATGTAGAAAGCTGAAACTGGATCCCTTCCTTACACCTTATACAAAAATCAATTCAAGATGGATTAAAGATTTAAACGTTAGACCTAAAACCATAAGAACCCTAGAAGAAAACCTAGGCATTACCATTCAGGACATAGGCGTGGGCAAGGACTTCATGTCCAAAACACCAAAAGCAATGGCAACAAAAGCCAAAATTGACAAATGGGATCTAATTAAAGTAAAGAGCTTCTGCACAGCAAAAGAAACTACCATTAGAGTGAACAGGCAACCTACAACATGGGAGAAAATTTTTGCAACCTACTCATCTGACAAAGGGCTAATATCCAGAATCTACAATGAACTCAAACAAATTTACAAGAAAAAAACAAACAACCCCATCAAAAAGTGGGCGAAGGACATGAACAGACACTTCTCAAAAGAAGACATTTATGCAGCCAAAAAACACATGAAAAAATGCTCATCATCACTGGCCATCAGAGAAATGCAAATCAAAACCACTATGAGATATCATCTCACACCAGTTAGAATGGTGATCATTAAAAAGTCAGGAAACAACAGGTGCTGGAGAGGATGTGGAGAAATAAGAACACTTTTACACTGTTGGTGGGACTGTAAACTAGTTCAACCATTGTGGAAGTCAGTGTGGCGATTCCTCAGGGATCTAGAACTAGAAATACCATTTGACCCAGCCATCCCATTACTGGATATATACCCAAAGGACTATAAATCATGCTGCTATAAAGACACATGCACACGTATGTTTATTGCGGCATTATTCACAATAGCAAAGACTTGGAACCAACCCAAATGTCCAACAATGATAGACTGGATTAAGAAAATGTGGCACATATACACCATGGAATACTATGCAGCCATAAAAAATGATGAGTTCATGTCCTTTGTAGGGACATGGATGAAATTGGAAACCATCATTCTCAGTAAACTATCGCAAGAAGAAAAAACCAAACACCGCATATTCTCACTCATAGGTGGGAATTGAACAATGAGATCACATGGACACAGGAAGGGGAATATCACACTCTGGGGACTGTGGTGAGGAGTGGGGAGGGGGGAGGGATAGCACTGGGAGATATACCTAATGCTAGATGACGAGTTAGTGGGTGCAGCGCACCAGCATGGCACATGTATACATATGTAACTAACCTGCACAATGTGCACATGTACCCTAAAACTTAAAGTATAATTTAAAAAAAAAAAAGACAAAAAAAAAGAAAATAGATTAAGCATATTCATTAAAATATATATATTTGTATATATCTATAGCCATTATTTTTCTCATTTGCAGATTTTACTTAATACATGCATTTGCACATGAAAATAGCAGATATAAAATGATATCCATTTATTGATCTCTTGTGATTTTTATGGAAATAATCTTTTTTATTATTAATTTTAATTTTAATTAAATTTTATTAATGTTTTACTTTAAGAATATTTTTCTAATTATAATAAGAACTGCTCACTTTAAAAAAGCATTAAATATATTTCAAAACCTTGGTTTTTAATATTAATAGCTACACACTATTCTGTCTTGAGTATATAACTCTTCTCTTATTAAACATTTAGATAGTTTCCAATTTTTTAATTATTAATAGTGCAATGATATATAAATATTTTTATATATATCCTTTTATATACATATTTACAATAGAGTGCTAGAAGTAGATTTACTGGGTCAAAAACTCAGCATTTTTATGCTGTTATACATATGACCAAAGTTACACTTCCATAAGTGGTATCTAGTGTGTCACATCCATCTTCACCAGCCTGAGTACTGTCATGTGTCATACTTTGACAGTTTATAGGTGAAACAGTTTCTTGTTATCTTAATTAACATTTGGAAGTTAATCATCAAATTGAGTTCTTTCAAATGCTTATTAGTCATTTTTATTTCTACTCTTGTAAAATTCTAGTTTATGTACTTTGCTCAATTTTTCTATTTAGACATTTACCTTTTATTTTGTTTTACATATGAGCACCTTTTTATACTAAGGATATTGACTCTTTGTCCATCATGTTTGTTGAAGACATTTTTTCAGATTTTCATTTGTTGTTTACATTTATTATTTTAAATACAAAAGCATTTCACTGGTTTTTAAAAAATCAATTCTACATTTTATTCCTTTGTGATTTCTAGTATTTCTTTCATTTAGCAGGCTGAGATCAGATAAATATATCCATCTATATATTTATTCTTCAATTTTTCATGTTTTCATTTTTACATTTAATTCTTTTTTTTCCTACTGGTATTTACATTTGGTAAAGTGCAAATGAAGGAGCCAACTCTCCAGCTCCCAAATAGTTTGACTATTTTTGTAACACCATTTGTTGAATAATCCATTATTTCCTCATACTGAAAAAAATACAGGAATTACTATATATACAAGATTCCGTTTTGAGTTAAATAATGCTTACTTTTTCAGGGTCTACTTTTAGTAAAAGAAATCCAATTTATTCTAAATAAAAATGCATACATACTACTAACATATAGCTTGATTTAAAGTTCCCACTTTGTTGTATACCTTAGTGTTATTAGGAAAGGGTTTTTTTTTTTTTAGCACTTTAAACAAGAAAATGAATTTTGAGCACAGCCTACTGGCATCTAATAAAAACACAGCTGAATAAGTCTAATAATTTTTGTAACACTCTAAATCATATTGAAATACACAGTTTTTTTAAACAAAATTCATAATTTAATAAGCCTATACCTTTTTTGAATTGCAGATTTCTAAGCACAGAATGTAGCTTAGTTAAGTACCTGGAATCAGAACTTTTTTGGGGGCAAGCTTAACTTGAAATTCAGTAGTAATTACATATGTGTGTGTGTGTGTGTGTGAGTGTGTGTGTGTGTGTATTATATATGTGTGTATATACATAATTTAAAAGATATTGCTTGCTATCTTATCTAACGGTTTTCTTAAGGTATGGCCACTGGGATTTTACATTATTAAATCTTACAGTTTTCTTCACAAAGCTGAATAATTTTACTCGTTCTTCTGGCAACTTTTGTAATTTGCATTTTTGATCATTCAGTTTTTCAAGGTCTTCTTTAAGATGCCTCTGAAGAGTTTTTATACGCATATTATAATACATTATTTTTTTCATTGCTGTGGTCTAAAAGTAAGAAAGAAAACAACAAAAAATTAGCTAAAACAAATTATAGGCAATTGTTAGTGGTATTATATAAATACAGTATGTTCTATATAACAATTTAGATGATTTGCATGCTTAGTTACTAATAATGATGACAGCTGGAGTGACAATGGCTACACAGAGTTCTATATTTAAACTTAATACAAAATATAAAATTCCAAAGATTTCCTTTGTGAGGCATAAAGTGTGAGGCGTATTCACATTTATTTCCAGGATAACAACAAAAAGAGACTACAGATAAAATTTAATGTATAAACTAGTGTAGGTAATGAGGTAGTACAATTAGAGCAAACATATAACTCATTATTCCTATTTGATTAACTCAGGGAATAAAATAAATTAATAAGAATTAAAAGCAAATACAACATTACTCAATTCGTTTTTTAAAAGCATGGCTAAGGAATATAATTTTTTTTCAAATGTATAAAAGAATGTTAGGCTGAGCAAATTACTAAATGTCTATCAAATCCATTTATCTTGCGTTCCTTAATAACAATGCATCATTCAGTTATTAATAAATTTATCATGATAAATTGATTAATTCCATAATTAAGATATGCAACAGCTAAATGGTGTTTGAGAGTTATGTTAGTTAAAAAGAACTATCTGAGGAGACCATAAACAAATTTGAGGCATTATAAAAAATCTGACATGGTTTTGTTTACCTGAAATAATGAAAGCGAATAAGTTGGAAGGCTTTTACACTCTTAGACATATATTTTCTACAGATGCAGTCTTTTCTTATGAAATTTACTTAGTATGGAGTGGATAATCAAGATCCTAATATAATTATCTGGCATAAAAGACAGAATAGGAACAAATACATAGTATGATGAGAGGCCAAAATAATCCTCTTTCCCCATGCATATTATGAAGTACTGCAACTGAAATCACCAAATTCCCCTGCCAGAAATAAAACAATTATAACAAAGAACAGTTAAGAAAAAAGTTTGTTTTAGGATCATGATAAACTGATTAAGTATATCTGATAAAGAAAAGCTTAATTTCTGAAGTGCAACTGAGTTAAAAGAAAAAACCGTAACTTAAGAAATGGGAAATGGTGTTTCTTGTTTTTTTTTCTTGCCTATTTGGAGACAATAGGAAATCCAATACAAAATTCTGTGGGTCAGTGACAGCTAAAAATAATTCTAATAAATTCTGAAAACTAAAACAACAGGATATCCACATACAGAAGAATGAAACTAGACCCCTGTCTCTCAACATATACAAAAATCAACTCAAAAAATGGACTTAAATGTAAAACTTGAAACCATAAAACTACTAGAAGAAAAGAGAGAAAATACTTCAGGACATTGATCTAGGCAAATACTTCAAAAGCATGGGCAACAAAAACATAAATAGACAAATGGGACTATATTAAACTGAAAAGCTTCTGCACAGCAAAAGGAAACAATCAACAGAGTGAAGAGACAACCTATGGAAGGGAGAAAATATTTGCAAACTACTCATCCAATAAGGGTCTTATATCCAGAATATACAACGAACTCAAACAACTCAACAGCAAAAAAACAAAATACAAAAAAACCAACACATACGCACACACAAATGAAACACACACACACAAATAATCCAACCAAAAGGTGGGCAAAGGAACTGCATAGACATTTCTCAACAGACCATACAAATGGCCAATAGGTATATGAAAAAATGCTCAACATCACTAACTAACCATCATGGAAATGCAAATAAAAATCACAATATAATCTCACCTAGTTAGAATGGCTATTATCAAAAAGACAGAAAAAAAAAAGAGAGAGAGAGATGCTGGCGAGGATGCAGAGCAAAGGGAACTCTTTTTTTTGAGACGGAGTCTCACTCTGTCACCCAGGCTGAAGTGCAGTGGTGTGATATCGGCTCACCGCAACTTCTGCCTTCTGGGTTCAAGTGATTCTCCTGCCTCAGCCTCCTGAGTAGCTGGTATTACAGGCACCTGCCACCACGCCTGGCTAATTTTTATTGTATTTTTAGTAGAGATGGGGTTTCACCATGTTGGCCAGGCTGGTTACAAACTGCTGACCTCAAGTGATCCGCCCACCTGGGCCCAGAAAACGGAACTCTCATACGCTGGTAGTAGAAATGTAAATTAGTACAGCCACTATGAAAAACAGGATGGCGTTTTCTCAAAAAATTAAAAGTAGAACTTCCATAGGATTCAGCAATCTCACTCCTGGGTATTTATCCAAAACAAAGGAAATCAGTGTATCAAAGGGATACCTGCACCCCCACGTTTACTGCAGCACTATTCACAATAGCTAAGATTTAGAATTAACCTAAATGCCATCAACAGGTGAATGGATAAAGAAAATGTAATATATATATATCACATTACACACACACATATGTGTATACACATGATGGAATACTATTTAACCATAAAAAAGAATTAAATCCTGTCATTTGTGGCAACATGGTTGAGCCTGGAGGACATTATGTTAAGCGAAATAAGTCAAGCACAGAAAAATAAAGACTGCATGTTATCACTCACGTATGAGAACTAAAAACATTTTTTGAGCTCATGGAAGTACAGAGTAGAATTGTAGCTATTGGAGGCTGTAGGCAAGGTAGTGGGGAGGAAAGAATGGGGAGAAAGGTTGGTTAAGGGTACAAAATTACAGCTAGATAGGAAGAATAAATTCTGGTGTTCTGTAGCACTGCAGGGTGAATATGGTTAACTATAATGTGTATATTTTCAAAAATCTGGAAGAAGGGATTTTGGATGTTCACGACAGAAAGAATAAATGTTTGAGGAGATGAATATGGTAATTACCCTTATTTGATCATTATACATTGTAAATGTGTATTGGAACACCATTGGGTATCCTATAGAATACATAGAATTATTGTGCATCAACTGTAAATAAAAGGGAAAAAATAACACAACAAGAGAACTTGGGATGGAGTTAATTTGGTCAGATAAAATACAAGATGCCAAATTAAATTTGAATTTCAGATAAACAACAAATAATGTTTTAATATACATAATACTTACTAAACTTACTTATACTTATTTAATTATCCCAAAACATCTTTATTATCTAAAATTTAATAGATATTTTATTATTAAATATCTATTAATAGGTTATCTAAAATTTAAATTTAACTTGGAATCCCCCTAGGTGGGATAAAAAAAAAGATTAAAACATACTAGTTTTATTTTAATTTTTTTGAATAAGCAATATATTCACATTTCAAAAACCAAAAAATTTGATTTATACAATGAAAAGTGTACTTCCCACTTATGTTTCCCATCTTCTCAGTTGCCCCATCTTCCACAAAAAACAACTGATTTTAGTGTCTACTATATCTTACCATAGTTTCAACTTTTTCTAATTTATTAAGTATGTACCTATATCTTCATATAGAAACAAAAATTATGATATTTTACTATTTCTAAACTTTTTCAAAATCACTTAGTATGTCATAAAAATAAATAAGAGTTATCAATAAGGGTTTTTTTTTTGTCCTTGTTTGAGAGTATATAGTAAGATTTTGGGGAAAGAGGGAAGACTATTTTATAAACTGTAACTATATAGCAAATCAACTTTGTAGGCTGACCACATGCAACTTGCTTTTTGTATTTGGACTTTAAAAAACTAATGTCAAAGTCACGTTCAAAGACTTTGGTAGAATTCCACACCTGTTAAAACAAACTTTTAAGAAAAAGAAATTAGACTAATTATAATGCTAAATTCAGTTGCATGTTTGTACTAAGACAAAATTTGATCCCTTTGCATCTTAGGTGGCCAAAAAAGAATTCAAAGTCATAAACAGAATTATATTCAACTATAGTTTCATAGCACTTATTTTTATACTACTTAACAATTAAAATGGGCTTTTATGTACATTAACTCATTGGCTCCCCCAAAACAACCCTGTACTGAAAAGCAGATACTATTTTCATCATCTTTGTTTCAGTTCAGAAAACTGAGCTCTTCAGTAGTGGCACATTCAGTTGGGGGCTTGAATCCAAGTCTTCTGATTTGAATCCATATGTTCTTCCCTCTGTCTTGCACTAACTCTTTGGTGGTCCTCCTGGTAGGTTCTGACTTTACCTGACACTTGTAGTTTACACAAACTAGTTCACAGTCATAGGTGAAAATCTGAAGAATCAATAGCACTCTGTTCAAGAGTTTATCACAAAGAACTGCCACAATTTGTCTCATGCATAGTAGGGAAGAAAGCATTTTATAAATCTATATCAATCCATAAATTAAAAATACTTTGAATTTGAAAATCATTTTGGTCTGAATCAAAAGTTGGACTATAGTATATATCCTATTTGTGCCTTAAAAGGTAAAGGGAGGATAAATATTTTACGATAAGAAAATGAAATATAATGACTTAATTTAAGATGTCAGAAACTGTCTAACAATTCCTTTTTTTGTTCTTTATGCTACTCCTGACGTTTACAAGACTGAACCAAATGTATGAGAATCTCAGTCAGAATGAACCTGCCTCTCTTAGTTCTCCTTTTCAGTCTCCTCTGCAGGCTCCTTCTCTTCTACCCAACATTTAACACCCAAGTGACACACTTTCTCTTCTATACCATTCCCTCGGTGACTCATCCAGTCCACAGCTTTAAGTACCAACTTTCTGCTTTCAATTCTCATATTTTAATTTATACCCCCAATCTAGGAAACTCTCCTACATAGTAGACTCATATATCCAACTACTTACTGAGCATGTCCCCTAGGATATTCAAAAAATTGTTCAAACTTTACATGCCTAAAGTTATCATGATTCTAGAATCATGATTCTTCCTCCTAAACCTACACCTCCCATACTCTTCCTCATGTCGTCAAATAGCAACTTACTCTTTGAATTGCTCTTGCCAATATCTTGGAATTATTCTCTACTTCTTTCCTCTGTACTTAATATTCAATCCATCAGTAAACCCATATAGGTTCCATCTTGTAACTGCTACCAGAATCTGACTTCTTACCACTTTCTCTATGAACATGCATCGAACCATCCACATGGCTCATCTAAGTTACTGGAATAATCTCCTAACTGGTCTCTCTGCTTTCAACTTTCCCCCTCTAACTCTCTATTCTTAATCCATTATTCAAAAGGATCCTTTTAAAACATAAGTCATCTTAGTCCCTCCTCTGATCAGAATTTTCCAGTGGACCCCATCTTCCTCAAAGTAAAGACCAAAGTCCTTACAACAGTCTACAGTCTCACATAATCTGGCCTCTACCACTCCTGTCTTCATCTGTTACTTCTCTTCCCCTGATGTCCTCAGCTACTTAAACTTTCAGAGAATCACAAACCATCTTTAATTAGATTAAAATCTACCTAATCCTTGGTAGACTACCATAAACCATAGATATTTTCTAATTTTGATATGTAATATTCCAAAGGAGAAGTGGTTGTTACATTTCTGTTATTTAAGCTTTAATTTATATATATGTATATATATGTGTGTATATATATGTATATATGTGTATATATGTGTATATACGTATATATATGTGTATATATGTATATATGTGTATATATGTATATATATATGTGTATATATGTATATGTATATATGTGTGTATATATGTATATATGTATATATGTGTGTATATATGTATGTATATGTATATATGTGTATATATATGCATATGTGTATATATGTATATATATGTGTATATATGTGTGTATATATATATGGCACTAGTCTATTTTTAACACTGATTTTTTTTCAATTTCCTTCTTGTTTTGTATAGATTAGAAACATTATTATTCTATTATTTCACCTTCCAGTACTGTCATCAAAATTAAGATTCTAGTATTAATATTATTATTTATATACTTTTATGTGTAATATCCAGTTCACTAGGGCAAAAGCAGACTTGGCAACAAGAACTGAACTGATAATCCTACCTACCGTATGTGGACATGGCCAGAAAGAAGCCGTTAACTAATAAAACTGAAATCACAGATGCCTGATTAGGGATGTACTTACATCTGCCAGTTCCTTGATTTGCTTTGCTGACACATCCAATGTGTCAAATCTTTGAAGGCAAGGCAAATGATATAATACATGTGTGGAATAATTACACAGAAGACAAACTGGATTGGTTGTATATTGAGGGTCATTCAGACATAAATCCTTTAAGCAAGGCAGCCTGGTTAAGTTCGTGAGTTCCTAAAATGCCAGCAAAGATAATGTTCAGTTAATTGTGACTGTCATTTCTAAAGGCAGTATTTGAACACCTAAGATCAGCCATAGTCTAATGCATTCTAATTATGCGCTTAAATACATTAAAGTGATTTAGATGCCTAAAATGTTTCTCTCTATTGAAAAGCTAAATTCCTGAAGAAAATATCAACAATAATTAAACAACATGCTACACCACTATGCCTTTTAAATATTTACTAAATCATGTATTCCAGCTGGAACCTTGAAGCCAGTGATGTGAGCACATTTATTCATTAATAAGTTGCTTCCCCTACACAGCCCCTCTTGCTAATTGCCCCCAGGATACCTGTAGGTCTCTGATTTCTTCACCCCTATTTCCTGTACTTATCACCTAGAAACACTCCTCTTCATCCTCGCTGCCTCCAGATCTGCTCTACTCATTAAAGGCTATGGGATCCCCTGTTCATTACAGTCACCATGGAATTCCTGATTTTTGTTTTTTTTGTTTGTTTTGTTTTTTCCATAAACACCTGTTTTACCTATTATGGTCAACTAAAGCCTAACTTTCTTTTGAGGGCCTCAGTTTTCTCACAACCTATGGATGAGGAGGGATTGATATGCACTCTCAGTCCAATGTTTCTCCTTAACATATTTTATCCTGATGTTTAAGTCATTGTTTATACTTTCCTTTATTTGTCATCTGGCTCTTGATTAACTCTTCAGTCTTGCCTCTTCCTGTTTAAACCCTAATATTTTATGATTTAGCCATATTGAACCAATTGAAGTTTTGGAATGTGCCAAGCCCTATCTTGTCCTTAGACCTTTACTCATGCTGCTCCTTTTGAGTGGCCTGAACTTCACCCCAATTTTACCTTTTAATCTGTCAGAGCCCAACCCAGTGTCATATTCCCTGGGAGCCTTGTTTCATCCCCCAGCGTTGGGATAGATGTTCCTCCTATGAGCTCTTTTAGCCACTGAGCTTAGTTTTGGTATGGATTTTATTATACCCTATTGCCAAATGCTTGTGTCTATAAGCCAAGGGTCTATATGGGCTTTGGTCCCCAGTCTACAAAAAAAGAATGTTATTTACATTTTTTAAGTATTCAAAAAAAACAAAGAAGAATATGCAGTAGAGGCTACATGTGGCCCACAAAGCCTGAAAGATTTTCTATTTGGCTTTTTTTTTTTTTTTTTTTTTTTACAGAAAACATTTGCTAACCCTGTGATAAACTTGTGAAGAACAAGGTTTGTGTCTTGTTTAACATTGTATTCTCAACACTCAGCACTTAGAACACAGCAGGCACTAAATAAATATGTAAAGTAAATTAATTATTACTTTCAGCCAACTTCGAGGATATCCTCATACCTTTCTCATTACCAGGATGGTGCCTGAGGTAGGAGGGTACTGTGGTGGGGTCAAACTTGAAAGGATGCAATGCTAGCTAGAAAAATCAGAATCAGAGTTAAGGGAAATCCAAAGGAAGAACTAGGAAGCATTAGGTCTAAAGCTACAGTAAAAATGGAATGGAAAAGGGAATAGTGAAGTCAGGTTGCTGGAAGCAAGAGTAATACAGGTTGAGGCGGTTAATGTATTTCCAAACTCTCTCTGGACAAGTGAGAATGTGGCTCACTGGTCTGACCTGAGGCTTGGGCTGAGCCTATGCAGGGAGGAGGACTAAGCAGAGTTGCTCTAAAAGGAAGATTTATGGACAGAGCTGTGCAGAGAATTATTTGGTCAAATTCTGCAGGGGCAAGAAGGTAAACCACTTGATTACTGGGTTGCTATGTTTCATTTGACCATTAGTCTGAGCTAGCAGATGGTGGGTATAAACTCTGAAGTCCTACACAGAAATCCCCCAACTACATTCCAAATTCAGGTGACACTGGAGTTTACAAAGGCACAAAATCTCACTGAAAATTAGTGCTCTGGTGCCTGGTATGGTTGGAAGGTGGGCACAGAATTGATTCAATCACCACCATGATAAGATAGTTATCTTCTTAGGGTAGGAGGAAAGGTTAGAGATAAAAATCTAAGATAATAGTGTTCCAGGAACATTTTTAATATGAAGATAGTAAAACTTCCTGTGAATCACGTTCAATGTTTTTATGATAGTCATAATGCCATAAAAAGCCTTTTTAAATATTATGTCACACAATGAATTTTTATAATAATCCTGCTATCATCATTTTTAAAATGAAGATACTGAAATACAGCAGTTCAATGTAATTAAAGTAATGGTAATAAAATAATAAAAACAATGGATCTGTTGAGTCCTTACTATGTGCTGGTCACTATTTAGGTACTTTACATTGTTATTTCACCAAAACTTCATGTTCCACCGTATTATGCTGCCTCTAGTATGAGGCAGAGCAAGACCTGAGAGGTCTTTCTGTCTATGCAGCCATGGCTTATAACCACCATAAGGGTGCCATGGCTAGCCAGAGTAAGTTAAACTTCCATATAGTTTCTTGGCAGGGCAATGCCTTATTTTCCCAGAACCCTGAACTAATCTTCTTCAGCCTTATGTCATAATTGCTTCCCTTGCTGTGATCAAGTCACACAGTATTTCTAGTTCCTAGAATCTGCCATACCCCTTTCAACCACCTTGAGCCTCCACACATGCTCTAACTTTTGCCTGGAAGGGTCTTTGCCTGGGCAACTCCTACTCACGTCTGATATCATTAGCTGTAACATTAGCTCCTCAAGGATGTCTTGTCCTGACATCCCAAACAAGGCTAGGTCTCCCTTTTATATGTTCCCACAGCACTCTGAATTTAATGTTCATAGCTCTCTCTGATCTCTTTTGGAATTTTAGCCTATTTTAAGTATAAAGCTTTATGCACATTTCACATTATTTTCTTGGAATAGATTCCTAAAAGAGGAATTGATAGGTCAAAGGATAGAAGCCTTTTTAAAGGACTTGGTACACATTATCTAAATGCTTTCTAGAAAAGTTCTATCATTTTAATGATTACCAATGTCGTATAAATGCCCATCTTATCCTTATCTTTCTAGCACAGAGTAACATGTTTATAAAATGTTGACTATATAAAATATTATCAATTTATTATCAATTACAATTATATCTTTTTTTTTTTTTTGAGACCTAGTCTCACTCTGTTACCCAGGCTGTAGTGCAGTGGTGCAATCTCAGCTCACTGCAACCTCCGCCTCTCAGGTTCAAGTGATTCTCCTGCTTCAGCCTCCTGAATAGGCTGGGATTACAGGCGCCCACCACCACGCCTGGCTATTTTTTTTTTTTTTTTTTTTTAGTAGAAACAAGGTTTCACCATGTTGGCCAGGCTGGTCTCAAACTCCTGATCTCAAGTGATCCGCCCGCCTCGGCCTCCCAAAGTGACAGGATTATAGGCGTGAGCCACCATGCCCGGCCTTATATCATGTTTTATTTTTCATTTTATTCATTCTTAGTAGGATTGAAAATTATTTTATGAATCTACTAGTCATGTGGAGTTCAATTCTATGAATTATCTGCTCACTTATCCTTTATTCTACTGGGTATCTTAGATTATTTGTTTCTAATTGATTTAAAAGAGCTCTTTTAAAAGTAAGAATTATTTCAAAGGTTTTTTGTTGGTTTGTTTTAATTTTATGATGTGTTTACCAGCCTGATAATTAGAATTTCCATATAGTAAGTATGATTTAAAGATTTAGTGTAGTATCTTAAGCTGGCAGAACTAGAAGGGGAAAGATACACATGTGTGCACGTGCATGCGTGCACACACACAATCTTGTTATCTATCTTACTGCCTGTCCCTGTCACAACTGTTACCATCCTCTCAGTGTCTCTGATTTCTATCATGGCTTCTTTTCCACATGTTTAATCTGATCCCTTATCTGATGGTCTCAATGTTGGTAGAGACAATTTGCCATGGCCCTAAGCATCGCTTCACACTCTTGCTTGTTATGCCAAGATTGTAAGGTATGACTGCTCTTTACCCATTTCTCAGTGTTGTGTGTACAGATCTTTACCTGGATGGCCCCACTGGTATTCTAAACTCAACATATCCAGAACCAGATACATTCTCTTCCCCTCACCCCCACCAAACTAGCTATTTTTTTTCTGATTTGTGTATTTTTTGAGCTTGCTAAGAACTGTAATCACGGATTCATTTTGGACTCTCTAGCTCTTCACATTCTACTAGCTGTGAAATTCTGCAAATTCAACAACCATAATGTCTCTTGCATCTATTTCTTCCTCGTCTTTCCTCCTCCTCCTCTTCTTTTTTTCTTTTTTTTTCTGTTAACACTCCAATTCATAGTCTCATAATTTCTCATTTAGATTATTCCTGGAATCTCCTGACTGGGTTTTCTTCTTCTAGCTGTTCCAAATCAATAAACACTAACTCCAGATCACTATCCCTAAAGAACATTTCTGATCATATCACTTTCTTGCTCAAAAATTTTACAGCTCTCTGTTGTCTATAAAATACAGTCTATATTCGAGACCCAATTGACCTTTCTAGTGTTAACTTCCAATATTGCTATATATACTCTATACTCCAGTCAAATGACAATGCTGGTGTTATTCAAATATACCCCTTGATTTCTCACTTCCCTGCCTTTGTACATATTGTTTTCCCCGTCTTAGAATGCCCACGCCCTGCTACCCAGAAGATCCTCCCACCAATGCTTGTTCAAATTCTGTTGACACTTCAAAGTTCTTATCAAATATTTCCTCTTGAATTTGACTAATACAATTTTGTTTACATTTCTTTTTAAGGGACTTAATCTGCCTCATTCTATAGCTTTTTGGTATTTTTATATTTTTGCCTGAGTAAAAGAATGCCTACTTTAATACTTATGAACTCAAAATTATTTCTATAGTAAATTTACCTATCTTTCTTCAGTATTTTCTAGAGGATGTGTTTGAATATGCACCTTCAATCTTACACTGGCAAAATTATAAATGCCACCTTTTAACCAACATTATATGTGATAAACATTAAGTCCCTTTATTTGGTTGTTTCTCTTTCATTCATGTTCTTGACAAATGTTTATTGAGATTTACTACATGTCCAACACTGTGTTAAGGATTGTGGATACAGCAATGAAGAGAACAGGCAAAGTTCCTGTACTCAGAGAGCTGGTATTCTAGTAAGGGATGTGCCAAAAGGAAAAATGAAACAGTGGCACTGTGATAGGGAGTGCTGCAGGTTGGGGAGGTTGTGACGGTTTTCCTATTACACCTAAATTGGGAGGGAAAGGTGTCACTTACAACACAATATTTTGAAAAAGACTTGAAATAAACGATGAAATGAGCCATGCAGGTATATGAGGAAAGAAAATTCCAGCAAGTGCAAAGGCCATAAGATTACTGTGTGCTAGGTGTATTCAGACCAGTGTGGCTGAAACTGGACAAAGGAGAGAGTGGTAGAAACTGTAGTCAAAGAGATAGGTAGGGGTGGTGGGGTGGCTAGATTAGGTAGTCTTATGGCCCCATTATATGAAATGTCTTCTACTCTGAAATAGATGAGAAGGCGACGGAGGGTTTTAAGCAGAAGGGTGATTTTTATCTGACAGATTTTTAAAGGTTCCATCAGGCTTCTGTGTGGAGAACAGATCTATAGTAGGGAAAGGACAAACACAGGAAAAATTGTTAGGAAGATATTTTTCATTAATGCAGGTTAGAGATGATAGTGTCTTGAATCAGCTTGGTAGTGATGCAGATGGTAAGAAGTGATCAGACTCTGGACATATTCTGAAGGTGCACCCAGTTGTACTTGCTGATGGATTGGATGAGGGTATGAAGGAATAAGAAGAGTCACAAATGACTGTAAGGATTTTGGCTTAAGTTACTGCAAGAATGGAGACTCCATTTAGAGAGGTGAGGAAGACTGCAGGAGAAGGCCTGGTAGAGGAAAAATTAGTTTGCATTAAGATATGTGTACAGTTCTGGAGAGTTGTTAAGGAAAGTAAAGGTACTAGTTTAAAGGGTAGATAAACGGTATTTAAAGTCTTAAGGCATGATGAGATTATTTAGAGAATGAATGCAGACAGAAATGAGAAAAGATGTCAGTACTGACCAAGGGCAGTCCATATCTTAGATGCTAGGAGAGGATGAAAGAACAGAAACTGAAGAGATGTAGCCAGAAAGATTGGAAGAAAACTAAGAGAAAATGGTATCCTAAGAGCCAGGTAAATAGTTATTTGTTTGGTTTTAATAGTGTCAGATCATTAAGGCCAATGTAGTCAGATGACTTTCAAATTTCCTGGAGCATCAGCCCAAAATAATGAACTTATTCCTTAATGGGGGACTTTTTAGTACAGTTTCTGCAACACAATGGTTCATGATTCAGGATGATAAATAAAAATTAATTATTCCACTTAAACATACCTTGAAAGAACATATTTGGTTACCAGAAAGGTTTAATCTTTCCAGTTGTTCATTGGAGTCAAGACATCGACCTTTAAAAAATAGACGAAAAGAATTCAATTATTTTACCTTCTGTTCATATTCTGTCATACTTCTGAGTTGTATGTAGCCATCGTTTCTTGCATATAAATAGACTAATGGTACCATTGTATAATTAGTAACCACTGATTAATGAGTAATATTTTCACAGGTTTCAATATGCTTTGCAAATATGTCACAGAAAAAAGCCTAAAAGAAAAAAAATCTAAGCATGTACTTTTTATATTGATAAAAAATGATTATAGCATTATCTCAGATTCCAAATGAAATAGTACATACCAATGCTATTTATTAGATTTCCAGCAAGGTTGAGATCTTTTAAATTCTTCAAAGTTTGCAAACCCTAAAAATTTAGACAACATATTATTTAGAACAGATAATTAAAATTAACATTTACAAATCATCTCTGATTAATCTGGTTAGTTCTGCAGGTGCTCTGAGCACAGGGTACTTTGTACTCCACAAGCACAGAAGGAAATGAGTGCCTCCAAGAAGCCACCTTTGTTCTCTATACTGGAACTCAGAATTATTGGAGGAGGGAACAGGAAGCGGAGTAGAGAGGAAAAAAGGAGGAGTAGGAGGAAAAAGAATACATCACACAGAGTATATTTATAATCTTAGGCAAGTTATGTAACTTATCTAAACCTCTTTTTATTTTTAAACCTTCAAAGAAAGAATAACAATGCCCTACCTCTTAGCCTTGTAAAGAGTAAAGAAAGTAATGTACACAATGCCCTCTGTACCTTATAAAATGCTATATACATGTTAGTTCTTTTTGACAACAATAATTGTACTAGTCAAGAATAGTTTGGCCTTTAACCACAATATGATCTTGAACATTGTGGTTTAAACTCTACAGTAGTAACTGGCTTTACATATAGATAATTGAAATTATTATCTTACCTCAATATTTTTAATTGTATTGTGGTTCAGCCAAAGAACCTTCAATTTGATTAATTTCTCTAAATTTTCTATTTTGGAAATTTTATTAAAATATAAATATAGTTTTTCCAAATTTCTACATTCTTGAAGACCTTCAATTTTCTGTAAAAGAAAAGGAGACTGAATAATGTTAGTTTATGTTTTGCTATTAATCCTTCCAATGAAGTAGGTTTCTAAGTATATTTTCTTTTAAATATCATATTTTATTGCAAAATCAATATCCAGCAAAATGAACTGTTTTAAAAGAAAAAAATATATTCCATGTTTTCCATTTAAATACAACTATTTTCAATTTTGCATGTTCTCTTTAAATTTTGATCAACCCTATATCTATTTATATATGGTTATAATTGTAATCATATATATCACATATCATATTTCTATATGGTTATGATTATAATCATATAGAAATGATTATGATCATATGGTTATGATTATAACAATGTAAGCACTTTATAATCCTAATGCACACACAATTTTGTGGGACTCTTTAAATTAAGACTAAAATGTTTTCATAATCCTTCAAATTATATTTAATAATTATGAAATATTTCAAGTTTATAATAATTTTCTGAAAAATTACCTGATGTATGGCATATTTATGTTTCAAATTTTTAGTTATAAATAATGCTGCAACAAGTAGCTTCGTGCATATGGTTGTTTTCTGCTATTGAGTTAACTTTTCTAGGATAAAATCTTAGTGTAGGGACTTCTAAGACAAAACGTATGCCCTG
Source organism: Homo sapiens (assembly GCF_000001405.40). NCBI lineage: Eukaryota > Metazoa > Chordata > Mammalia > Primates > Hominidae > Homo > Homo sapiens. The sequence goes on along the minus strand of NC_000014.9, from coordinate 59,930,285 downwards.
TGCATTTCTGTGATGGCTCTTGATGTTTTGCAATATTTCTTTTCAAAATAGATGTTATAATTTCAACACAGCCAATAGTGTCTAAGTGGACCAATTTTATTACTACGTAGTACTGGTTATGATTTGATTACTAAAAAGTAGAATATGTTTATGTTTTAATCCCTTATTTCTGTTTTTCCTTTGCACAAATCAATTTATTTATTTATTGAACTTATATTTTAAGTTCAGGGGTGCATGTGCAGGTTTGTTATTTAGGTAAATTTCTGTCATGGGGGTTTGTTGTACAGATTACTTTATCACCCACGTATTAAGCATAGTACCCATTAGTTATTTTTCCTGATCCTTCTCCCACCCTCCACCTTCAGTAGGCCCCAGAGTCTGTCGTTCCCCTCTATGTGTCCATGTGTTATCATCATTTAGCTCCCACTTCTAAATGAGAACAGGTGGTATTTGCTTTTCTGTTCCTGGGTTAGTTTGCTAAGGACAATGGCCTCCAGCTCCATCCATGTTCCTGCAAAGGACATTATCTTGTTCTTTTTTATGGCTGCATGGTATTCCATGGTGTATATGTACCACAGTTTCTTTATCCAGTCTACTACTGATGGGCATTTAGGTTGATTCCATGTCTTTGCTAGTGAATACTGCTGTAATGAACATACACGTGCATGTGTGTTTATGATAGAATGGTTTATATTACTTTGGGTATATACCCAGTAATGGAATTGCTGGGTTGAATGGTATTTCTGTTTTTAGGTCTTTGAGGAATCATCACACTGTTCTCCACAATGTTGAACTAATTCACACTTCCACCAACAGTGTATAAACATTCCTTTTTCTCCACAACTTTGCCAGCATCTGTTATTTTTTTTTTGACTTTTTAATAATAGCCATTCTGTCTTAGTGTGAGATAGTATCTCAGTGTGATTTTGATTTGCATTTCTCTAATGATCAGTTATTTTAAACTTTTTTTCTTATGCTTGTTAGCCACATGTATGTCTTCTTTTGCAAAGTGTCTGTTCATGTCCTTTGCCCACTTTTTAATGGGGTTGTTTGTTTTTTTCTTGTAAATTTGTTTAGGTTCCTTATAGATGCTGGGTATTAGACCTTTGTCAGAGCATAGTTTGCAAAAATTTTCTCCCATTCTGTAGATTGTCTGTTTACCCTGTTGATAGTTTCTTTTGCTCTGCAGAAGCTCTTTAGTTTAATTAGATCCCATTTGTCCATTTTTGCTTTTGTTGCAATTGCTTTTGGTGTCTTCGTCATGAAATCTTTGCCTGTTCTTATGTCCAGAATGATATTGCCTAGGTGGTGTTCCAGGGTTTTTATATTGGGTTTTACATTTAAGTCCTTAATTCATCTTGAGTTTAATTTTGTATATGGTATAAGGAAGAGGTACAGTTTCAATCTTCTGTATATGGCTATCCAGTTATCCCAGCACCATATATTGAATAGATGGTCCTTTCCCCATTGCTCGTTTTTGTCATCTTTGTCGAAGATCAGATAGTTGTAGGTGTGTGGCCTTATTTCTGGGTTCTTTATTCTGTTCCATTGGTCTATGTGTCTGTTTTGTAACAGTAACATGCTGTTTTGATTTGATTTGCTTTGATTACTAAAAAGTAGAATATGTTTATGTTCTAATTCCTTATTTTTATTTTTTCCTTTGTACAAATCAATTTCTAGCCTTTGTTCATTTATCTGTCTTAACCCATGCCTTATGCATATATTTCAATGAATTATTTTTCTAAAGCCAAATAATTCAGAATAAAATACTCCATGTGAGGTTTTATGTTTACACTTACCTCTATGCAGCACTCAGCAATCCAAAGTTCTTTAAGTTGTAAACAAGGCTCTAACCCTGAAATTTCTTTTATATCTTGAGCAACAATGGTAAGACTCGTTAAATTAGGAAATAATGATAATCCAACTATACGAGGATACCCTAAGAAAAACATCTCCAACTTTGATGTATCTGATCCTTCTTGTCCAACCATCTCATAAGATAAGCCATTGCACAAACACTGTTTTAAAGGAAAGAAATTTGGTCATTACCTATTTTAAATAATTAAAAGATGACTTTTACCATTAGAAATTATAAATTGTCAACTGCACTGATGCCATTTTTATAATCTCACAAGAGAGAAAGTTATATCACATATATGATTATTCTCTGCTTCCCAAAGTCACTAGGTAGAGGAAATGACTAAGTAACCCTTCCAGCTCTAGAAAGGAGCATAAAAACTTTCCATTTTATATTACTGCAAATGTTATTTAAAAGAAATTTGACTTTGACTCACCAGTTCTTTAATTATTTCTTCTTGGTTTAGGTTTTCACTTTCAATCATCTTCCATTAAAAACAGTGATCATAATATTATAACTTTTAAGGAAAATGAAAAAATGAAATAAATATTAAAGTCATTGTCATTCCAAGTTGAAATAGACCTTAAAGCTACTGAGGTTGAACCACCCAACTGTAGTTTGAAATCTTCACATAGTATATTACCAAGTATCTGTATAAACTCTGAGGGAGTTTTCTGTTAGGAGGTTATTTTTTATTTTAATTTTAAATCTCTCTCTCCATAATTCCTTCCCTTTTGTTGTCAGTATACCTCCTCGGTATAACTTTTTTTCCACACGATGAGCCTTCAATACTTGAAGAAAATGGTCATCTCTCATCTACACTCTTATCTTACTCCCAGTTCAAGTTGTTAGTTCTCTCACTATATACTCATGTTTCTCTCCTTTGAACAGGCTCTAGTTGTCCTTTGTATTACACTGCGGTGTCTAAACGTGAACACAGTTCTCTAAGTATACCTAGACTGCAAAGAGAAGAATCCTTAGGGCTTAGCAACATTTTTGGCATAGTAATAAGTGTTTATTAAAATAAATACTCCAACTTCTCCTTCATTCTAGAGAATATGAACCAACTAATACTTCAGTTGGATGAAACTTAATCCAACTTTCATAATTTGTAATATTTTCTGTATATTATTCCAGATACATACTATCTAAAAAATATAAGAATCCTGCCTTTAATATAATGAACTGACAAAGCGAGATTTAGAAAATGGTATACAGTATAATCCCTTTCTTTACAATAACAACTCCCCCATAGGCATGTGTGTATACATGTGTATATATGTAAATGCATGTATATGTATAATTATTGTCAGGAGAAAATATGGAAAGATATATACTAAGTTGTTAATATGAGTTTCCTTAGATGCAGGTGAAAGCCTTTGTGGCCAGAATACAAATGTAAAGCTGGATGGGAGAGATCTAGGCAAAAATGGAAAAGAAAAAATGATACTTTTAAAAAAGCATGTTTAGAATTGCCTAGTATGAATGTATAGACATTTATTTATTATTTCTACTATGGGTACACATTTTGACTGTTTCCAGTTGGGGGTTAAATAGTGCTTCTCTGAACATTTTGTCATACAGGTCATAGCTACAAATTTCTTTGGGGTTTCTACCTAAAAGTGGAATGAGAAAGAAACAACTACTGTTATTTGCAACATAAGTGAGTTTCACGTAAACAAATGTTGAACAAAAGAAGAGACACACAATGAGTAATACTCATAATGAGTATGACTCAATTCATGTAAGATTTTAAAACAAACTGTAGTGTTAGAAGTTAGGATATTGGTTACCTTTCAGGGAAGAGCAACTAAGAGGAGGCAAAAAGAGGGGCTTATAGAGTGTTCATAACAATGTATTATTTGATCTAGGTGCTGGTTATGTTCAATTTGAAAATAAAATTAGATACCTATGATGTGTGTGATTTCTGGATGTATGCTATACTTCAATGAAATTCTACTTAAATTTTTATTTTAAAGGCATTTATATGCTCATTTTTATTCATTTATGCTAAATTATGTACATGTGCTGGCATATACATAAATTAAAATGTTAAGAAAAAAGATGATGATTTGAGTCCATGTATTTACCTATCTTCCCTCCCCAAATCTCACTAGAATGACTACAGAAATATGAAAACAAGAAAAGAATATAGCAGTGCTACAAAAAGAGCAATGATTGCCAGAAATATTGAGAGAAGTCTTTAAATATGACACAGACAACATCAGATTGAGAAAAAAGCCCATTAACACAAACCAGAGTCTGTTCTCACATTGCTAATAAACACATGCCCGAGACTGGATAATTTATAAAGGAAAGAGGTTTAATTGACTCACAGTTTCATATGGCTGGGAAGGCCTCAGGAAACTTATAATTACAGCAGAAGGGGAAGCAAACCAACCTTCTTCACATGGCAGCAAGAGACAGAATGAGAGCTGAGTGAAGGGGGAAGCCCCTTGTAGAATCATCAGATCTTGTGAGAATTCACTATCACAAGAACACATGGGGGAAACTGCCCCCATGATTCAATTATGTCCACCTAGTCTCGCCCTTGAAATGTGGGGATTATTACAATTCAAGATGAAATTTTGGGTGGGGGCACAGCCAAACCATATTACAGACCAAAATTCAAGGTACCAGGGAAAGAAGTTTCACCAAACAATTCTAAAAAATCTTCAAATTGAGAGAAGCAGTGGTTGGGAAGGGGTAGCTGTGTATTATATATAAGGGACCAAATCAAAGGAGTTTGAGAAATGCACCAGAAAATTGCACACAGTCTGTATTTGTACTCATGCTTTGTAAATTGAGGACATTGCCCTACCATGCTGAATGCTACGGTTTGAATGTGTCCCCTTCAAACTTCAGGTGTTGCCAATATGATAGTATTAAGAGGTGGGCCTTTAAGAGGTAATTTGGTTATGAGGGCTCCTCCCCTTCCAAATGGCATTAGCTGCCCATTAGCTGTGCATTTAAAGGGCTTGATGGAGAAAGTTCATCCCTTTTTTGCCCTTCTGACTTGGCCATGTGAGTACATACTGTTCCTTCTCTCCAGAGGAGGCAGACTTCAAGGCATCATCGTGGAAGCAGACACCAGATGCTGATGCCTTGATCTTAGACTTCCTAGCCTCTAGACCTGTGAGAAATACATTTCTGTTGTTTTTAAATTGCCCATTTTCAGGTATTTTATTATAGCAGCACAAAATGGACGAAGACACTGAGTCAAGAAGGAGGGATGGGACCCAAGCTAGCACCACAAAGAAAAATACAGCCAGCAAATTATCCTAATACATTGGACTCTTTGTTCATTCATTGACTCTTTGTTAATATTCATATTGAAGGCATAAGACAGAACCCCAGACAGAGAATGACAGCGGTGGGAGGAAAAAGAAGATCAGGACCTTATCAGATGATAAGGTGGAATCTGGGCAAAGAAATGAAGGACATAAGGGAGTGTGAGTGTGAGCCATGCGGGAATCTGGAGAAAATGCATACAGGCAAAGGAAACAGCAAATGGAAAAAAAAAAAAAAGCTGGGATGGGGGGCAGTGAGAGTATACTTGGTATGTTTGCAGAATAGCAAGGAAAATTATGTGCCTGGAGTACACTGAGAGAAATAAATAATGGTAGGATGTGAGGTCAGAGAGGTATTTCAGGGCCAAATCATGTGCTATCTTGTAGAACTCTGTGAGGATTTTGTATTTTATTATGGTAAGATGAAAAGCTATATGAGGATTTGAGTTGAAGAGTAACAAGAACTGTCATAAGTATTGAAAAAGATCACTCTGGTTGCTGTATTTAAAATAGATTGTAGGGTTTGGAGCAAAAGCAGGGAGACTAGTTAATGGGCAGTTGTAATAATGTAAGTGGGAGAGGATGGTGATTGGAGTAGGGTGGTGGTAGAGGCAGTGGAGACAGTGGTTAGATGATGGGTCTATATTGAAGGAAATGCCGCGCATTCCTTCCCTGCTTCCCATTGGCAATTTCATCTTTACTCCATTCTTGGACAACCTCAGGATATTACAGCATAGGCTGCAAGAGAAGCCAGTCAAGAAAGCAACCTGAAAGAATTTGGAAGCTCCATCAAAGGCCCATACATAGATGCAGGCCATAGTCTTACCTCTCCAGGTTTATTTGAATAGTGCACCAAGCTTAAAAAGTGTTTTGCAGCACCTCTACTCGTGGAAAGAGAAACCCTTATATACTGGATTAAAGTCTGTGATTACCAAAGGATAGCCTAGCTGCCCACCACCACACAAAGGACAAACGCTTCCCTTCAAAGCTCCAAATTCACCAAATGGTGTTCTAAGTTATCTTGCCTTTGTCCAAGATAACTATTGTAGAAGGAATTAAATCATTCTCTTTGTTATATTCTAAATGATCACATACACTGGGGCCTAATTTTGGACTTTCTAGTCTGTGTTTTTCATTAGCTCTGACTATTCCTGCACGAGTATCTGTTTTTTGTTGTTGTTATTGTTGTTTTAAGACGGAGTCTTGCTCTGTCTCCCAGGCTGGAGTACAGTGCAGTGGCGCGATCTCAGCTCACTGCAAGCTCCACCTCCCGGGTTCACGCCATACTCCTGCCTCAGCCTTCGGAGTCGCTGGAACTATAGGCGCCTGCCACCACGCCCGGCTAATTTTTTTGTATTTTTAGTAGAGACGGGGTTTCACCGTGTTAGCCAGGATGGTCTTGATCTCCAGACCTCGTGATCCACCCACCTCAGCTTCCCAGAGTGCTGGGAGGCGTGAGCCTACAGGCGTGAGCCACCTCGCCTGACTGTATCTGTTTTAATTACTGTGATTTATATTTTAAATTCCCACCTCATGTTCTTTTTTGGCAGTTTCCTGGATATTCTTCCATATTTATTTTTCCAAATAAAATTTAGGATTATTTTGTATTTAGTTTTAAAAAATGCAGTTGGGATTTTGGTTGAGGTTGCATTGTAAAGATTAATTTAGGGAGAACTTCCATATTACAGTTTTGAGTCATCCTCAAGAACAAGGGATAGCTCTCCATTTACTTGAGACTACTTTTCCTTGGAAGAAAAATATGCCTATTTGGGATACAAATCTTACCTCTCACTTCAACTTATTTTCTCTTCATCAATGCACTTATTTAGCAGAAAATCTTATTCTAATTCAACAGCTAATTAGAAAAATACAATTTAATTTAAAAACCCCAAATTCTATAAGTTGTATAACTATTTCTGAATCACAAGGATGCTAGGCCTTCCTGGTACTTACAAGTCTTGTATGTTTTCTCCAGTCACAAATGGACTCAAGGGTTCCAGATGAAGTTACTGAATTCATCAAGAGGTGAATGTCCTGTTGGCCAGCTTGTAACTACTCTCCTGCTCTTCGAAGCTCTTTCAGGGCTGGCCCATTTAAGAGGCTAAAGGTCATCTCTAGTTCCCCCACAAAACCAGAAGCCACCAGGAACTTCTATAGCTTTTACACCTCAAACTGCATAGGATTAATCTTTCCACTTTGGATTGCTACTGGAAAATTTCACCTAACCAGCATGGAGCTGAAGTCACTACAAATGCATTGCCTCTAACTTCAGTTAGATCTTCAGCAACAAATGTTTTATATTTTCCTCAATTTCCTCTCCTAGGAGAGTGGGACTAGAGACTCGAGATTCATGACATTACTATTCTAAACTTTCACCACTCTTTTCAAGGTCTCTCTCTCAGTAGATGATCTTGACCCCATTTTCACAGAGAACAGTGGTGCCATCAAATGTATGTTTCTTATTTCCCTCCTCTCAAAGACGTATTTTTCTTTCCCTTCTGACTCCTGTCTTAGTAGGTGTTCTTCCTTTTGTCCAAAACAAATCCCTTTTCCTATGTATTGATCCTATCCTTATCTGTCTCTTTCAGAATACTGCTGTCAAATTTTCCTCTTTCATTTATTGCCAAATTTCCTTGTCAACGGTCTCCTTTATTTCTGTATATAAATATTAAGTCTTTCCTATCTTAAAAAGTCTCTCCTATATTCTTCTATGAATAGCTGTTTTTAGATACCTTTATGGTACACCTTTTAGATAATCATTAGCAACACATCACTACCTGCTTTCAGTCCTGGATTCACTGCCATCTGGACTGAGAACACCTCAAGCCACTACAAGGTCAAAAATAACCTTCTAATGGCCAAAGACAGCGGACATGTTTTGATTCTCAACTTGACCTTGACATGGCATTTGACAATGCTGACGACTCTCTTCTTCACGTTTTCTTCTTTGGTTCAACTTTTCTCCTTGGCTTCTCTCTACTTGTTATTTCAAACTTACTTTGTGCTTTTCTTCTTTTCTTTTTTCTTTCTTATTTATTTATTTATTTTTTTTTTGAGACAGAATCTCACTTTGCTGCCCAGGCTTGACTGCAGTGGCACAATCTGGGCTCACTCCAACCTCTGCCTCCCAGGTTCAAGTAATTCTTCTGCCTCAGCCTCCCAAGTAGCTGGCACTACAGGCGCGTGCCATCACACCCGGCTAATTTTTGTATTTTTAGTAGAGACAGGGTTTCACCATATTGGCCAGGCTAATCTCGAACTCCTGACCTTGTGATCCACCCGCCTCGGCTTCCCAAAGTGCTGGGATTACAGGCATGAGCCACCGTGCCTGGCCTACTTTGTGCTTTTCAAACCAATTGTTTTCTTCATGGTGAAAAATCCTTATCTTCTTTTCTGTGCAAAAAAAAAAAAAAAAAAAAATCCAACTGCCCACATGAAAAAGCTCCATCTGAATGTGCCACAGGCATCTCAAATTCAGTGTGTTCAAAATTGAACTCATTATATTTTCCAACCAGCCTCCTTCTCCTAATGTATGCCTTCTCTTGAAAAGTAACACCACCATTCTTCTATTGGTTGAGCTATTATCCTCAACCAATCTTTGACTCTATCCCCCTATTTTCATTCACTCATTAAATCCTTCTGCATATACCTCTTAAAGGTCTTACCACATTTTTTTTCCTCCTCCTCATTCCAATTGCCTCTGCCTTGGTTCAGGCCCTCATCACCTCCCCTTAACTTGATGTCCTCCCTGTAGTCTGTCTTCCCTCAAGTTCATCCTCTACACTACTGTGACAGCCTCCTGAAAGGTAAATCTGCTCATGCTTTACCCCTTTGGAAGGTATTAATGGTTTCCATGCTCTGACTCCTGCCTACCTCACATGCTCATCAGCCACAACCTCCACAGAGGACCCTAGGTTCAGGCCACAACTATAGTTCTCTGGAACTGAATGGATGTTTCTGTACTTTGGCATGGGCTGTTTCCTCTCCCTAAAATGTCCTTTTCCCTTGGCTGTATGGCATACTCCATACTTCCCTAAAGATTTAAATCAAAGATCTTCTCTTTGAAGACTTTCATTCTCTCTGGTAGTATTATAAGCATTCTCTTTCTTGTGATTCTGGTTAGGGCTTGCACATACTCTTTGTATAGCACTTGTCACACTGTAAAACAATGTTTACGGGCCTTTCTTCCCTACTAGGTTACATGTTCATTGAAGGCAGAAACTGTGAACCTATCACAGGTTCACTGTCTGGCACATGCTAGTTGTTAAAAAAATTGTTTAATGGGTTAATTGTCATGCCACAGGCATATGGTATAATTTAAAGACATAATCGTTCTCCATGACCAGAGTATAATGATAGAGTAAAAAGGACCATGGTTTCTGTCTGCCGTGAGAGTTGGTTAGGATGTCATTCTGAGAAAACTTTTTTTTTCTCTGCCCAGTAGAAGTCCTGTATGGGTCAAATTATTTCCTCCTTTGGGTATAAAAGGATCAGAATCCATCAGTTACCACTGATGGTCCAAATAAACCCCCTACACTCTCTAGATGAGCAGTGTCAGGTTTGGTTAGGGAGCACTTGGTTTTTCCAGCCCAGAATCTTAATTGGTGCAGTAAAATCTGCATAGTTGGCTGTAGGCCACCCTCCCTTTCCTTCTCTTGAACTTTGTTCTGGTACCCTGACTGCCTCAGTAAAGCCACCTCACTGTCTTTCATCATTATCATCACCATTGCACCATTACGGAGTTCCCTTGACCTCAACTTTGCTTCACTGGCGTCTTCCCCTTGGTATGGCTTGGAAGGAAAAAGAGGGGATCAAAGACTCCCGGTGATGTACGCCCGAAGGCCACCAGGTGACGGATTCTGACCTTATCACAGAGAGAGGGTGGATTCCGGGGCAATCCGATTCAAGTCCGAGTCCACTCCGATTTCCCAATCCCTGTCTTGCAGCAGAAGGTAGGAAACCCTCTCCCGCCCCAGGCCTGGTGTGTACAGACTGCCTGTGGCGGTTGCCTAGGTAACCTGATCTCCGCCTCCGGCGACCTCCGGGTGGGGAGGAGGAGAAAAGGGGCGGGGAGGGGGATAAAAGGGTGGGGGGGAAGCGGAGGCCGACCCGGGTTTGCATCACGTGGTGGCGACCTCCAACCAATCAGCGGAAGCAGGGGTCCAACCGGAAGACCCCACCTGGGGCTCCTGGGAAACGGCGGGAGCTTCTCGCTGGCAGGTTTTTCTGTACCTGCGCTTATCTTTTCACTTACCTTCGCCAGTTCGCGGAACGTGACTGAAAGCAACGCGTTATGGGCAAGGTGGTGGGGACTTATTCGTTACCTCCTCCAGTCTCGCTCTCTCCCATTCATTATCTTTAGCTCTCGGGTCCTGGAAGCGCGGAGCCTCTCTGGCCTTGAGCCCCGAGGGCATGGCCCTGTGATGTCACAAGGTGGCGTGACAGCCGGGACGAACCCCGACCCCCAGCGCGGCATCCTTCCCGCGGCCAGCGACCACCGCCTCCCGGGAAGGTGGCTGACCACAGCCGCAAGCCGCTGCGCGCCCGGCAAGCCGAATGGAAGGACGGCGCGGGCAAACGAACGCCCAGTGAGGTCCAGAGAAGAGAGGGACCTTCCGAGGGTCTTCTAGTCGATCTCGGACAGGCTTTTGAGTGCCTTTTAAGCATTCCAAAATTTTCAGGAGACAACAGTAATTTACAAAATAGAGTAGAATTAAAAGGGGGGAAAGGGGAGACTTTTCAGAGTGGGCAGAGAGGCTGAGAAATGAACTTAGTAAAAGGCAAACCAAAGCAACCGCAGGTCTCGTGTCGTTCTCTGGATCTGCGCAGTCCAGCAGGGTGAGCCGCTACCCACAGACTCGCAGGGCCCATGATCGCTTGAAATGTGGCTTGTCCAAATTGACATGTGCTGTAAGGTACGCATTGTATTTTGAAGGCTTAGTATGAAAAAAATAAACTCTTTCGTTATTAATCTTCATATTGATTAAATGTTGAAATAATATTTTTGATACATTGGGTTAAATAAAAAATATTGTTAAAATTATTGTTTCTATTTTGAAAATGCGGCTGTTAGATAAATTTTAAATTGCATGTATGACTTGAATTATGTTTCTTTTGGACTGTGCTCTCTTTTATGTGGTTCAGTCGGTTTGTGTAGAATAGTTGTGATGTTAATGCAAAATATTGTCTGTAGTGCTTCTTTCTGTCACCAGATGGCCACCTCATTAAATAGACTATAGTTTTGAACTGCTTTCCCAAGAAAAAGTTCAGATTTTAGGAATATTCTCATTTAACAATTGTCAACAATTTCAGCATATTTGCCTTTATTCAATTAACTTTATCTGTAATATAGACCGTTTGTAAAGATACATAAACAAAAATTAACTGGTTTTCCCTCTACATTCTTATTTCACAGAAAATTGTTTCTATCTGTCATTAATAGATAATTCGAAATAAGCTAATTAAAGTTATTTGTGGCTTAGGGGTTTCAAACTAATGCCAGAAAAGTCAGATTCATAGTTTTTACTTTTACTATTATCTTCTCTGAAATGTAGTTGAACAAGGTGACCTGTCTTTGGGGAAGTTTTCTTCATAGAGTATAAAGATGAATTAGAACATAATAGTTGAGATTTCTACACTTCTAGACATAGAAATTTGAACAGAAACCAGTTCAGCGAATTATCTACACTAAGTTTCTTAATTTGAGGGGTCCAGCTCTGGGATGAAAGTATAAACATTATCAAAGTATATTTTTAGGAATCTATTGGGATTTTCCTGACCAGTGAAAGACTAGGAGAGAGCTAACAGTTTTCTTTACATGATATAAACAAATAATTTTAAGATTGTTATTATTCTAGGTAAAGCTCAAGGATCTGGCCAGTCAGCAACTGAGTCTGAGTTCTTGCATAGCTGTAGACTTAAGAACTATTGGTGACTTGCCAAAATAAAGCCTTTGTCCACAGGGTAAGTCTTAAGAGAATCACCTTCTGTTCACATATTCGAAATGTTGTTTGAAGCAAAAGATGCTTACAGTTAAAAGCCATAGAAGCAATGCAAAAAGAGTGATCATTTTTGTTAATCTCCTTTTCTCACTTTAAAGTAGCTTTATTATAAGGTTTTATGTCTGAACAAAAAACGCTGGAAATTGAAACTACTGAAGAGTCAAGCAAATTAAGTAATCATCTAATTGAAATAAGACTTCACTTTATTCACCTCTGATCATACTAGACAAAGGCCAAGCCATATTAATTTAAATCTATTTATTTATGGGTAAAGGCATCTTGAATCTGAAAACAACTGGAAAGAGATATTACCACTAATTATAGCAAATTTGCTATATCATATCCTGAATTAAAGAATCACTTATTTTAACAAAATAGAGGTGACTTTGCAGACCCAAATAAGAAAATCTTGAATTACATAGTTATTTGTTAATTAGAACCTTTTAAATAGATTGTTAAATTTATTTTTCAAAGCAGCCCTATCCTTATTGGTAGAGAACTGTGGAGACATCTAATTTCAATTCTCCCTTTTAATAGTGCCTTTACTTCCAGAGAACCAAGTCTGGAGGTTTTAAATGCTAATTCGATTTTTATATTTGTGTAGACATTTGATCCTTATGTAAATGAGTCCTTTCCAGCTAATGATTTTATCTGTAAAAATTTACTGTTTCACATTTAAATTTGATATATCATAAAAATCACAAATGCATCACTACTTAGGGTTTACTTTGTCACTGGAAGATATAATTATGTGGTGCTTATAAAGTCATCAACAGAGGCCCTCTTGTTATTGATGCCTAGCAACACATGTGTATTAAGATCCATTTAAAAGTTAGGGATTATTCTGAAGTAAAGTTTTAATTAGACCAACAGAACGCTATTTCTAATGGGTCTACCTAAAAATGCTAAATAGCCTTTGTTCATGATTTGTTGATATATAATTAATGGATAAGCTTTTCTTAAAAGGCAGCCAGAATGGAATTTTAAGAAGACATTGCCTCTGTTTCAGATATATTTGTACTTAGCTCTAAGGCAACAAATTGAGGATAGTGAATTTAAGTGGGGGTAGTAGTCTTAATTCCTTGGAGAGCTCACCAGTTCTTTGTGTCGGAGAAGTCTTTCCTCTCTTCCTCTTTTATTTTCTGTCCTTTAGACCTTAGGCTTATAACGTTGATTATATTTCTCAGGTTGAAGCACATCATCATCATTGGTCTATACAAAAGCCTTCTCTTATTTTTTCTCCAGTTTTTTTTATCCAGCCCCCACCCTTATCCCAACCATATTTAATGTTTCTTATACACTTTTAGTTATGTATTTATCTTTGAAAAACAGGCAGTGTTATTTGTGTGTCTATTTTTAATTTTCATAAGTGGTATCACGCTATAAATTTTATTCTGATCCTTTTTTATTCCATGCTATTTTAAGATCTATCCACATTTTTATATGTTCATCTAGTTCATAGATTCCTATTGTCAGCTATGAGAGCTAGCTGGGGTGCCAGTAGGAATATAGCACATTTTCCATTGTGTACTCTAGGTCCCTGTCTCTGTTGCTGGAGGTGAAGGGTAGAGCTAAATGGAGGGAATAAATGGAAGCAGAATGCCACAGGACTGATTACCTCTAGATGGCTCTAGAAAGTGATCTTCAGGGTGTTTTTGTTTTTGTTTTGTTGTTGTTGTTTGTTTTTTTAGCAGTGCAAGGATTGTGTGTATGTTGACAGGTTGTCAAATCATTAGTTAGGGTCTCCTGAGAAGTAGATAGGATTTGACTGGCAAAAGATATAATGGGCAGAGGAGCAGGAGAAGGTAGGAAGAGTCGTCAGACCACAGTGCAGACCTGATACCTGAGGAAGGAGAGGAGGAAGGAAGGATTGGATAGAGAGAACCTCAGACTATGGTACAGTTCAAAGAAATGTTCTGCCAGGTTGGTGGGGAGCCCTTGAGCCAAAGTCACCTGTTGGAGGAGTTCTGCATCTAACTCGTATTGTGTTTCCCTAGTGTCCATTGTCAGTCACTGAAGGCTTTGCTCTGCTCCCTGACACATTGGAAGCTGTCCCAGAGATCTTCCCTGTACAGACCAAAGCAAAGAGTTTGCCTTTTGATTCACAGGAGCAATATATGTGGAGGCTATATTTTCTGTTTTCTGTGCAGTGCTTTGTTTTAGGGGAAGGAATTAGCGAATTGTTATGATGAGATAGATGGGTTAGTAAATTGTCATTAGGAAATGTAGCAAAAGAACTATGCATCCAGGTTAGTATATTCTGTCTGACAATTGACCTGTGGATGATGAGCAGCAAACAGGTCATTACAAATATAGAAAGGTTTGAACAAGTGCTTCTTCAAATAAAAAAAATTGAAGGCCATAATTTGAAATAAAGTGTAACTTATAGAGGAAGAATACATTTTTAAGACAGGCAACAATTGGGATAGATGAAGTTTGGTGTAAGTAATAAAATGCACTATCCTGTGAGGGAATCAAACAGTTGAACAACATATTGGCATCTTGGGAAGGGACTGGGAGCATTATACAATTAATAATGATCATTTTAAGCCTGGGCAACATAGTGATATCCTACCTCTAACAAAATGAAATACAAAAATTAGCCAGGTATGTTTGCACATGCCTGTAGTCCCAGCTACTCAGGAAGGCTGAGGCGGGTGGATCACTTGAGCCCAGGAGTTTGAGTTTACAGTGAGCTATGATTATGCCACTGCACTTCAGCCTGAGCAACAAAGCAATACCCTGTTTCTAAAAAACAAACAAACAAAACAATAATCATCTTAAAGGAGCATTTGGGAGTTGAGAAGGAGTATGTTTTATTCCATTTGAGTTGCTATAACAAAATATCATGGACTGGGTAGCTTATAAACAACAGACATTTTCTAACACTTCTGGAGGCTGGGAAGTCCAAAATCAGAGTGCCAGCATGGTCACAGATTCTTGTGAGGGCCCTCTCCTGAGTTGCAGACTGCTGACTTCTTACTGTGTTCTCACCTAGGAGAAAGGGTAAATGTGCTTCTTTGGGCCTCTTTTATGAGGGCACTAATCCCTGTGGAGGGTTCTACCCTCATGATCTAATCACCTCCCCAAACACCCCACCTCCTAATCACCTTGGGGGTTAGTATTGCAACATATGAATTTGGGGGAGACACAAATATTCAGCCCATAGCATTCCACCCCTGGCCCTCCAAAATTTATGTCCTTCTCACATGCAAAATACATTCATTCCATCCCCGTAACCCCCAAAGTCTTAACTCACTCCAGCATCAATTTAAATCTAAAGTCCAGAGACTCATTTAAATATCTAAATCAGAGATGGGTGAGACTCAAGGTATATTTCATTCTGAGACAAATTTGTCTCCAGTTGTGAACCTGTTAAATCAAGCAAGCTAT